>NT_187534.1:0-162429 GCF_000001405.40 Homo sapiens
GATCCATGAAGATACGTGAGGTCTCTTGCTGCTAGAGAGCGGTGCCAGTGTTGTGAGACAAGGCTTCAAAAACAGCTTCAAGGCTTCCAGAGAGTGGCCTCGCCACATCCTAAGCTCTCCAAGCGTCTGTCAAAATCCTGGGTTTCTATGTGTTTGGAGTCCAGTGGTTGAGGTCAGTAGCTCCCATGCGGGGTCTGATAAGGTGTGACATGACATTCCCTTGGCTAGGGAGAGTTCCCTGCATGTTCTAATCACAGTAAAACAATATCACTCTCACAGAAAAGTGAAAGTGTTCGGAATCATTTAAAGCTACATAACAAAATCCCAAGGAATTGGAGGGGAGGGCTGGGAAGAGTCAAATAGGGAAGGAGGGAAAGAGAATGGCATCCAAGGGTGTATTCGTGAGTTGATCAAGTCGGTCACTACTATGGGCAAACAGAATGCTATCATTTTAGGAGCTGCATAGAACATATCTCAGAATTGCCCACTGGAAGACTGGAAGAGCAGAGTATTTTTCCTGCAGTTCCTGCCTGCCCTTTGGTCAAAGTTTGTCCTTTGAGGTGTTCCTTTGCACTTCCAGGTTTACTCATGTGTCAGAGTGGACAGCGGATTCCTGCAAGGGTCCCAGGTTGCAGTGCCAGAGACGCAGAATACCAGGTGCAGCTGAGGCAAGGTGCTCTCAGGTTACACCTGTTCATACCTGGTTGTCACAGCAAAGCTGGGCTGGGAAGATGTAAGGCCAGATGTGTAATACAACCTCAGAAAGGTCAAATGTCCTTTTCTGTCTTATGCAAATAGGACTACAATTCAGTTTAATTCTCAGAGTCAGGATCTATGTTTTTTCCCTTGGGGTAAAGAAGAATTCTTCCTTTAACTACTTTTCTAGCAAAGCATAATCCTCAAGGCGTAATTTTAGTATAGTGATTTATTTTTAACCCTGTGGTACTATATGCCTAATGTTCTGAAACACCGTCACTGGAGCAAATCCAGGCTTGAGTCTATCTGTGAAACGGGAACAGAAAACTAAGTGCATCCTCCCTTCCTGATTCTCCCAGTCTTCAAGGCTGTATGTGCCAGGAGCTGGGGATAAAGGAGATAGCCTTAGCTCTCCAGAAGCTCACAGAATGGACAGACAGAGCCAACAGTTTTATTTGTTTGTTTGTTTTTTGAGACAGTCTCCCACTGTTGCCCAGGCTGGAATGCAGTGGCACCATCTCAGCTCACTGCAACCTCTGCCTCCCAGGCTTAAGCAATTCTTCTGCCTCAGCCTCCCACCTAGCTGGGATTACAAGCATCCACTACGAAGGGCAGGGTTTCACCACATTGGCCAGGCTGGTCTCAAACTCCTGGCCTAAAGTGATCCACCCGCCTCAGCCTCCTACAGTGCTGGGATTATAGGCGTGAGCCACCGCACCCGGTCTACAGTTTTCTTTAAATCTTCATCATGCCAGTACTTCCCTCCTCCTGTTTTCATCTTCCTGTATTTGCAAGTTTCATTCATTCTCTTCATTCTATTCATTCCTTCTCTGTACTTTACCTAAACATAGTTGTGAACCCCCAAAATCTGAGCCAGATCAATTTAGGAAGTTTATTTTCCCAAAGTTAAGAATGCACGCAAGTGAAATGGCCTCAGGAAGTCCTGACATGTGCCTAAGGTGGTTGGGACACAGCTCGGTTTTATACATTTTAGGGAGACATGAGACATCAATCAACATATGTAAGATGAACATTGGCTCAGTCTGGAAAGGTGGGACAACTCGAAGCAAGGAGGGAGCCCCCAGGTTATAGGTAGATGAGAGACAAATGGTCGCATTCTTTCGAGTTTCTGATGAGCCTCTCCAAAGGGGGAATCAGATATGCATTTATCTCAGTGAGCAGGGGGTGATTTTGAGTAGAATGGGGGCAGGTTGGCCCTAAGCCGTTCCCAGCTTGACTTTCCCCTTTAGCCTAGTGATTTGGGGGCCCCAAGGTTTATTTTCCTTTCGCGTAGCTTCGCCACTAATGTGTCCTGGTGTCTTCTCTCCTCAGCCTGTTTCTCATCCTGGAAACTGAGGTGTGCTGGCGCAGGGCGATAGCGCAGTGGGGTGGGGTTGGGAGGAAACCCTTATCTGTGGCCGATGGCCCTCCGTTGTTCTATTATTAAAACTCTGGGAAACTGCTATTCTTAATTTATTTTTAAAGACCCTGAGAAGCAAATCTTTAATTTTTTTGTTTTTGTGAGACGGAGCACTCTGTCGCCCAGGCTAGAGTGCAATGGTGCAATCTCGGCTCACTGGAACCTCCGCCTCCTGGGTTCAAGCGATTCTCCTGCCTCAGCCTCCCGAGTAGCTGGGATTACAGGCGTGCGCCACCGCGCCCTGCTAACTTTTGTATTTTTAGTAGAGACTGGTTTTCACCATGTTGGCCAGGCTGGTCTCGAACTCCTGACCCCAAGTGATCCACCTGCCTCAGCCTCCCAAAGTGCTGGAATTACAGGCGTGAGCCACCGCCCCCGGCCTTTAAATAAATTCATCTGATCAAAAGAAATTTAAAAACCAACCAACCCTAATGAGCTCTAAAGACAGCAACACGCACAGGACCTGGAAAGAGCCTCTTCCTCACCGGAGTTTTCCTCACTTCAAGGAGCGGCGCCTTCACCCTCCGGCCTCAGCCCGCGAGGCTGCAACCCTTTCCGCACCTGGCTCCATCTCCCTGGCCCTCGCCCCCGCCCAGCGGTCGGGGAGCGAGAAGGCGGCGGGGGATCTGGCGCCCGGCTTAGGGGCGAGACGGCCGCACCGGGAGCCTAGCGATCAGGGCACCTTGGGCGGGAGGAGCGCCAGCCGGGCACCCAGCGCGGAGGAGGCGGCTCGGCGGCCCCCCGACAGCCACGCCGCCGTGAGCCCCGCCCAGCGTAGCCCCAGCGCGCGCTTCGCGTGTAGAAGCGTCCGGGTGGCGGAGGCCGCAGGCCGCAGGAGTGCTGGTGGAGGGGCTTCCAGAAAGACCCTGCGGCAGCGCCCCCCCTCGGCTCTCCCCGCAGGAGAGCGGGCACCTGCGCGGCGCCGGGTGAAGGCGAGAGCCTCGGCGAGCCCTCTGCAGCGGAGCCCCCTGCCCATTTGGTTTTGGGTAAGAGGAGGGGTCCGCGTCTCTGCAGCTCGGGCGGGATTCCCTGGCGCCCTCTACTCGGTTTGGTTCGGCCTCACGTGTTCCTTTAGCTCCGAAGCCGGGATACGGGTGGGGAAGGGGGGCTCGCGCCCTACAGGCCGAGCCCTGCGGCCGCAGCGGGGTAAGGGTAGGATGGCCGATCGCGCCCAGACCCCAGGGAGTCTCCCTCTCGGCTTTTCTGCCGGCGTCTCCAGCAGCATGATCTGGCATTTATTATTCGGAATAATGTGCCAGGCAGGAGGAGGCCCTGGGTTAAACACGCGGCCCTGCAGCTCCCAGGTGAAACGACTCATCGTTTCCTGCCGGCGCATCTTACTGAAGGGGACCCAGGCCCCACGAAGGGAAGGAACCGTCCTCAAGGTCACGTCGTAGTCAAAGGCCGAGCCCAGACCGAAGCCAGGTGTCCTGCCTTCTAGCCCCGGGCTCTAGGCCCTGTCCCCTTCCCGACCGAATCTCCCAGTCCCGTCCGCGTCCCTCCTCCTCCTCCTCCTCCGGGGTCCTCCGCAAGGCTCTGTTCCCGGGGTTTGGGGAGTCCTCCCTCCGCGCCACAGCGCCCTGGGGAAGAATGCTGGACAGCAGGCAGGCCACAGGGCCGGGGAAGGAGGAGGAGCCGCGGGGACAGGCTGGGGATGCCAGAGTGGTGGTGGGCCCGGGACTGGCCAGGGTGGGAGTCCAGGCGGCGCACCCGCGCGAGGACAAGGGGGCTTTGGCTGGGCGGTGCTGTCTCAACCAATGGGAAGCGTGGCTCTGGCCGAGCCCCCCTCTCTCCCCGCCCTCCGGCCGGCCGTTGGGGAGCGCTGCTCTGGGATTGGCTGCGCCGCCGTCTCGGGCGTTCTCGCGCTCTGCTTACGTGCTGACGCGCGCCTGATAGATACCCTGTGGGTTTGAGCGCTCCGGTCGGTCCCTAGCGGCCCAGGCGCCTTGGGCGTGCGTCCTGCGCGCGGCCGCCTCCAGGCTGCGCCCTTCTGGGGAAGTGTTTGGTGCTGCGCGCGGCGTCGAACTCCGCGTTTTTTTTTTTTCTTTTCCAGCCAGTCAGCCTGGAAATCTGCCTGTAGTCAGCTGATGCAGAGTCACCCTGCAGTTCCTACTTTGAGGGGTTGCAGAAGCACATATTTCACTATGGAGGGCCGCCTGCAGGCCTCGCGCTGACAGGATCTTTTGTGACGCTGCAAATGTCCTGGTCAGTGTCCTTCTTTCTACAAGAGGCGTTGGAGCCGGGCTCTGCATAGGGCGTATATATCCCTGGCCGCCAAGGAAGCTGACCCTTGAAATTTGTGAAGCTTTCATATTCACTCAATACACATTTACAGAGCCTCTACTTCCTGTCAGGCGTCACACAATAAATATTCGGAGGAGCAAGAAGAGAGTGATTCAACATTTGGGTCTTGTCTGTAGGGTGCTCACAGTCCGGGTGGGGATTGGTGGTAGGATGGGGGCTTGTGAATGTTTATAAACAGAAATCCCTCGAATACGACCCTGGCTAGGTAGGTGCAGTTACAGAGGCACAGAAGGGAGGAGATTGGGCGAAAGATTTTTGAATTAGGGGATTAGAAAAGGCTGCTCGGGAGAGTTATCTGAACCAGCTAGGACTTGGTCAGATGCAGTCAGTTTGGTATAGGATGAGCAAGGCTCGAAAATTGGAAAGTACAGGGCTTGTTGAGGGATGGTGTAGCAAACGGTTGAATGAGTAGAGGAGAAAAGTATAGTTGGAGATACGGTTTGGAGGAGCCAGGTGAGGACTCGGGGGCTCAGCTTGTGTCCTCGGGTTTGAAATGCAGTAAGCACTTGTGAATAGAAAGGCTGCTTAATCATTTGCACTACTGTCATTTGTTACACCTAGACCAAACATCTTGGAAATGGCTTTGATTCTTCCTTCTTTCATATCCTACACTCAATCTGTTGGTAAATGGTAGCGGACTCTACCTTCAATATAAAGCCAGACTTACCAATTCTAATCAGTTCCATGGTTTTCACCAAGGCTGGTGTACATTTCTAAGGAACACGTTTTCACATCTCACTGCAGTGGTGCAATATACAACCCTCATGACTGCACATGGTGGCCCTGGATTACTGCCACAGATCCTAATGGGTCTCCCTGCTTCTGCTCTAGTCCATCCTCAACTTATTAACCCAGTGAGAGTTACCTTTTTAAAAATGTAAGTCTGATAATGGCACTCCTCTTCTTAAAACTCTTCTTTTTTTTTTTTTTTTTTTGAGACAGAGTCTTGCTCTGTTGCCAGGCTGGAGTGCAGTGGCGTGATCTCGGCTCACTGCAATCTCCACCTCCTGGGTTCAAGTAATTCTCCTGCCTCAGCCTCCCAAGTAGCTGGGACTACAGGCGCGAGCGACCACACCCAGCTAATTTTTGTATTTTTAGTAGAGACGGGGTTTCACCATGTTGGCCAGGATGGTCTCGATCTCTTGACCTCGTGATCTGCCCACCTCGGCCTCCCAAAGTGCTGGGATTACAGGCGTGAGCCACCACACCCAGCCAAAACTCTCTTAATTCATTTAATTATGTACCAGCCAGGCGTGGTGGCACACACCTGTAATCTCAGCACTTTGGGAGGCCGAGGTGGGCAGATCATTTGAGGTTAGGAGTTTGAGACCAGCCGGGCCAACATGGTGAAACTCCGTCTCTACTAAAAATACAAAAATTAGCCAGGCATGGCGGTGCATGCTTGTAACCCCAGTTACTTGGGAGGCTGAGGCAGGAGGATTGCTTGAACCTGAGAGGTGGAGGTTGCAGTGAGCCAAGATTGCACCCCTGCACTCCAGCCTGGGTAACAGAACGAGATTCCATCTCAATGAATCAATCAATCAATATTGTGTGTCTGTTGTGTGCAGGGCACTGCTGTACATGTTGGAGATACAACAGTGAACAAAACAGACAAAAATTCCTGTTCTCAAAGAGCTTATATTCTAATGAGACTGAACAACAACAAACAAGATAAATATGTACAACATGTAGAATGCTATAATGTAATAAAGTGCCAAGGAGGAGGAAAAAATGGAAGCAGAGAAGGGGGATAGTCAGGGTTGGGGTGGGATAGATGGGGTGGCCAGAGAATGTCTTAGTAAACATTTTAGTAAAGGACTGTGGATATTGAGGGAAGAGTGTTCTAGGTAGAGGGAACAGTAAGGACAAAGGCCCTGAAGCAGGAGCTGGCTTGCTATGTTCCAAAGACAGCAAGAAAGCCACTGTGACCAAAGTGCAGTGAACCAGGTAGGAATGAGGTCAGAGGGACAATGGAGACCCAGAACATGGAGGGCCTTGTAGGCAAACTCTAGATTTTGGCTTTTACTCTGGCAGGAGTTTGGTGAGGCGTGACATGATCTGATTTATGTTCCGCAAGATCCTGCAGGCTGTGTTGACCAGAATCTGGAGGAACTACAGTGGAAGCGGAGAGTCTAGTTGGGAGGCTACTGCAATAATCCAGGCAAGAAGGGATGAAGGCTTGGACTAGGCTGGTAGCGGAGGATCCTAGATATATGTGAAGGTGGCATTGATAGGACTTGCCGAGCACTGGGCCGTGGAGTGTGCAGGAAAGGGGAGTCAAGAATGAGGAAGATTTAGAGGAACAGGTCTGCAGGACAATAGCACAGGCTCAGTTTTGCACAGGTTGCATTTGAGATACGTAGTAAACATTCAAGTGGAGATGTTAGATGCGCAGTTGTCTGAGTTCAGGGGAGAAGGTTGGGTTGGAGATCAACCTTCGGGAGTTGGCGGCATGTGAATCGTATTTAAAGCTATGAGTGCTCGTCATGGTGCGGAGAACAGACCAAGAACAGAGTCCTGAGACTCCGTTGTTTAGTGGCCTGCCTTTAATTTGGTAGGCAAGCCCTGTTCTCCTAGTGAAAAAATGCCCACTTGATCTGGCAGTTGTAATTATGGCAGTTTTGACAGCTCGGGTAACACTTTGTCTTGGGGAAGGACAGAAGAGGAGTGGAATGGGGGAAGCACAGGTTCCAGTGTCGTTATAAGGTCATTATAAATGAGGCATTCTCAGAATAGGGGTCAAAACTGAGAATTAATACACCTCATATGCTGTTGGTGGGAATGTAAATTAGTACAACCACTACAGAGAATAGTTTGTAGGTTCCTCCAAAAACAAAAAATAGAGCTACCATAGGATCCAGCAGTGCCACTGCTGGGTATATACCCAAAAGGAAGGAAATCAGTATATTGAAGAGATATCTGCACTCCCATGTTGGTTCCAGCACTTTTTACAATAGCTAAGATTTGGAAGCAACCTAACTGTCCATCAGCAGATAAATGGATAAAGAAAATGTGGTACATATACACAATGGAGTAGTATTCAGCCAGAAAAAAAGAATGAGATCTGTCATTTGCAACAACGTGGATGGAACTGGAGGTCATTATGTTAAGTGAAATAAGCCAGGCACAGAAAGACAAGCTTTGCATGTTCTCACTTATTTGTAGGAGCTAAAAATTAAAACAATTGAACTCATGGAGATGTAGTAGAATGATGGTTACCAGAGGCTGGGACAGGTAGTGAGGGTCTGTGCAGTGGGGAGAAGATGGGATGGTCAATGGGTACCAAAAAGTTAAAGAGAATGAATAAGAACTAGTATTTGCTAGCATAACACAGCGACTATAGTCAATGATCATTTAATTGCACATATAAAAATAACTAAAAGAGTATAATTGGATTGTTTGTAACACAAAGGAGAAATGCTTGAGGGGGTGGATACTCCATTTTCCCTCAGGTGATTATTACACATTGTATGCCTATATCAAAATAGTACCCCGTAAATATATAGAACTACGACCTACCCATAAAAATAAAAAGTTAAAAATAATAGTGTTCTGCCTTCAGTTTTAGCTACTATTGATTTGGTGGCAAGTGGCAGAAACGTCCAGCCTGCTTAAATTACACAGAGACTGTAAAGGCACAGCATGGCTTCTGGAGCTGGGGGGCAGATGGGAGGCGGCTGCTGCTGCTGTTGCTTTTCTCCCTCCCTCCCTCCACCTCCACCCCTGCTGCTTTCTGCATGAGCATCTTATCCCCCCACCCCCTGCAGATCGGCTTTCTCCCTCTCTCTGTGGCTTCAGGGCCCAGTGGAGTGTAGCTGCCGTCCTCCAGCAGCGCCATTGCATGGCCCTGCGCCACAGAGCATGGTTCGCATTCTCTCACGGTGCCAGGGGACAGAACAATGGGCTCACCTTGGGTCTGGTGTCTCTTCCTGGCTCAGTCCTCCGTGACCAAAGCATAGTCTCTGCAGCTGCAGAGGCCAAATCCTATGAGGGAGGGGCAGGTCTGAGAGGAGGGGACATCAGGTGAGCAGGACAGACCCCCGAAAGGTAGTCACTGCAGAGTGTATGTGGTGTGTTATCGGAGGAGAACTGGTCGCCACCGAAGCCTAATCTGGTGACTGGAATGTCTCTCAGGACGATCAAGGTGTCTGCATTGGGTGTGCCTAATGTTAGACCCTTGGCTTTTATTGAAGGTCCCTGTGAAACGAGCCATGTGAGTGTCATCTCTGCATGTATGATACAGTGGTGGTGAGAACACTGTCTACTATATCACTTGATGTTCCTGTGTAATTATTTCTGACTTTTGTTTGAGAATGGTTACTTCTCTAAGGAATGTTAGGTGTCTTTTTGAATGAGGGCTTGAGAACTTGTCAGGTTTCCCGTTTGCATGACCTCAAGGAAGCTCCCACGTATAGCTGAGCTGGGTTGGAACTTTCAAGCAAGACTCTACGAAATGTTCGGAAGAGGAATGGCCAAATATATATATAATAGTTATTTGATTATAGTGCATATATAGATATATATGGTCAGGAATCTCAAAACTCAAATGCCCATAGTGTCCAGGCAATTAACAAAGATGATATGGATAGTTTTAACATAGTAAGTACAAACTGTTTGTATTGAGTTCAAGCATAGCTTAGCTGCCTAGTTACACTGCTTTTTAAAACAGCAGGCTGGCCAAACAAATCAGCCAAGTAGAACATGTTTAGGTAGGCTGCCAGTTGTAGGATTTGGGAAGCTGACACAGAAACTTGCTGGTCTGAAGCTCTTCAGTGTGAGGTCTCTGCATTGGCTGTTTCCCTGCATAACCCCAGCTTGCCCTCCTCGGGGGCAGGACCTTTGCCTCCCACTTGGGAGTGGCAAGGGCCCATGTAGGCTTCATGTCCAGAAACACCTGAGTTCTCTTTCCTGCCTTGTGTGACCCGGTTTGCTGCGGATACCTTGCCTCTGCTGAGAATGTTAGTACTGGGAATGCCTGCCCCTTTGAGGGGAGCCCCTGCTGCTGCCTCACAGGAAAGCCCCCAGCTGTGACCTCTGCAAGATGGTCATGTTGGAATGGAACACAGTGAGCCCAGCAGTGAGGAAGGATGCGCACGCTGTTTTCTTTTTTTCTGGAGTAGGAGTGCTTTCCATGTGTTATACCTTGACAGTGGAGCGGGCCCTTGAGAGAAGCCCCAAGTGTTTCTAGCATTAAAAAATGTCTCCAAGATTCCAGGTTGATATGTGAGCATCGTGATTTTGTGACAGTATCTTATGAGTTTGGTCCCTGGGAGTCAAGCCCCCTGTGCTCAGTCACCTCAGGGCAACTAATTACTTGACTTTCAAGGCTGAGGAGACTGAGCACCCGCCTCCCACAGCCATTTCTGTTCCCAAACTAAAAGGCAAGAAAGTGGTGTGTGAAGTTTGAGAACTTAATATTTACAGAGAATAAGGCCTGGCACAAAACATGAAGATGGCAGACAGCTACCCTGAAGAGTCTTTGGGAGCCCTGCAGTGGAAATAGCTGCATGTTTAAGAAACACGCATGCAACAGACTACATTGAGAACAGTGCATTGTTCAAGGGACTGAGTTTTTTGTGTTTTTTTTGTTTTTTTTTGTTATTTTTGTTTTTGAGACGGAGCCTTGCTCTGTCACCCAGGCTGGAGTGCAGTGGCGTGATCTCAGCTCACTGCAACCTCCGCCTCCTGGGTTCAAGCGATTCTCCTGCCCCAGCCTCCCGAGTAGCTGGGACTGTGGGCGCCCGCCACCACGCCTGGCTATTTTTTGTATTTTTAGTAGAGACAGGGTTTCACCATGTCAGCCAGGCTGGTCTCGAACTCATGACCTCAGGTGATCCACCTGCCTCAGCCTCCCAAAGTGCTGGGATTACAGGCGTGAGCCACCACGCCTGGCCAAGGGACTGAGTTTTTATGCACTTTTAATTATTTTGGCTTTAGTACTTTTAGATATGGCTGACTTCAAGGAAAACAAAATGGAAAGCAGCTGTCTATTTGGAGATCATATTAAAGCATTTTCTGCCACAGGCATTGAGCTAAGGGGTGGAAAGGACTTTAATTATAGATGACTGGATGGGAAGTTTCCCAGTGATGGTGACCTCAGACTCTGGTCCTGGGTCTTGGAGGGAGGAGGTAGAGATGTGTGTGCTTAGCCAGCTGGTCAGTACTTAGATGGTGGGAGGGGGTGCCTCATGAAAAAGTCTGAGCCAACGTGGGCCTGTGCCTTCCATAAAACCATAAAAAGCCAGTCTGGGCTCCATTCTGCTGCTCTCTGCAAGGAGCTTTCCATGGAAACTTCTTTTGTGGCCACAGGCCGACTTTCCACCCCCAGACTGCCCTGCGGGAGCCCGCTCAGCTCCCATCCACTCCCCAGGGACTCAGAGTGCCTCCTTTGCGTCAGGCTCGTTCTAGGCACTGAGGATTTGGTGGTGAACCAGGTGGAGAGGATTCCTGGTGTCACTGAGCTTAGGATCTAGTAGAAGATAAAGTAAATAAACATAATTTTGAATTAAGGTAGCTGCTATGAGAGTGATCTTACAGAGAGCAACCTGTGTGTTGAATGGGAGCCACTTTAGTGAGGGAGACAGAGGACTCAGCATCCAGGATGAGGGCAGAGCAGGAGCCGGTACTCTGAGGCAGGAACGCCCTCACGTGGGCAAGGAGTTCTTGGAGTCAGTGGTGGCTGCGACGCAGTGAGCAAAGAGGAGGGTGGCCCAGTGAGCTAGGGGCCTCCAGGGAGGGAGAGGCCAGCCCCCACGGGCATGGAAAGTTGGCTTTAAACACGGAAGTCGCATAGCTTGACCGGTGTTAAAAAGGTTTCTTGGGCTGCTGTGCTGAGAATGGGGGTGTGGCAAATAGGGGCAGGAGTACAAGCGAGAGTTTACTGTAGTTCTGGAAAGGTAA
This sequence comes from Homo sapiens, assembly GCF_000001405.40. Lineage (NCBI taxonomy): Eukaryota > Metazoa > Chordata > Mammalia > Primates > Hominidae > Homo > Homo sapiens. The sequence goes on from NT_187534.1 coordinate 11,321, forward strand.
CACCAGAGAGGTTTCTGCCTGCTTTCCTTTCCTGAGGATTAAACAGATTAAACGCCTCCACCTGCTTCCAGCAGAGTGCATGGCAGTGGTTGCTCAGTTAACACTGCTGACCTCTGGGCCCAGGTGGCTGGTTATCAGTAAGGTTTGGGGTGGCAGCAAACAGGCAGGGGAGGAGCCTCCCAGGCAGTACCTTATTACCAGGAACAGTATGACAGACTACAGCCAGGTAGGCAAAGGAGAGGCTGGAACCCATTTACCAGCCCGCCTTCCTTCCCTTAGGCCTGGAGGAATCACTATTAACAGAACAGGAGGGCAACGCATGCCCGTGCTGATCAGCGGTCAATAATGCTGAAGAGTCGTGGTGCCTAGCAGCCTTAAGGTGTTACCAAGAGATTCTTGTTGCAATAAGGTTGCTTTAACCTCAAATGGTGAGGGAGCGGGGAGGGTGTGTGTGTGTGTGTTAATTACAAGAGTCTCTTATTTGGCAGCTCCAAACTCTATGCTATAATGAATTACTGATTAATTCAGCCTCAGAGCCAGAGCCCCCTTGTTTGTTCGCATGGGGGAAAGAGGTGGACGGCTGAGTCAGATGCTATGTGGCATGAGGACAAGCTGCCTGCAGGGGCAGGTGGGCACCTCAGGAATGAAGGCTGATGCCCTGGGGCACCACAGGTGGGTGTTTCAGCAGGTTAGAGGAATAGGACTTACCGAGTCAGAATCCCTGAGGGGTTAGGTCCCCGAGTCTCCCAGTGGTTGGCGGGTTTGAGGATCACTGATCTGGGCCAACCTGCTCACATTATGAATGGGTGATGACTTGCCCAGGGTTGCCCAGTGTGTTTGGTGGCACAGCTAGAGCCAGAACCCAGGCTTCCAGGCACCCTGGCTCCTGACTCTTTCCATTGTGAAGCTGCAGCTTGAGAGAGGAACCAGAGTGGACTACCTGGTGGTACCAGGACTGGAGCTGGGTGGAACAGATGCAGCCCAGTTTGACTTTCACAACCTGAAAGGAACATGACTGCTCCTGATTAAAGCCCGGAAGGCAACAAAGTAATGCTGAGGGTGCATTTATGTTTCAGAACCACCGGGAGGAACTGGGCCATTCTAACACCCGTTGCTACCATGCTGGCCACCCGCCTCTCCAGACCCCTGTCACGGCTCCCAGGAAAAACCCTAAGTGCCTGTGATAGAGAAAATGGAGCAAGGTAAGCAACCAGAGGTGGTGGTGGCCTTGAGGGGACACTTTCTGAGCAGGCAGAGGTTTTCACACATGGACAGTGTAGGCGGTGATGAGGCCTGATTCTCAGAGATGTCTCTCAATACCTTTGTCTCCCAGCAGAGGAAACTCAGAGGTGTCCTGGGAAGACATTTTCCCAGGGCACACAGGGCAGAAAGGAATATCTTTCATAACCACTTATTTTTTTTTCTTTTTGATGGAGTCTCACTCTGTTGCCAGGCTGGAGTGCAGTGGCGTGATCTCGGCTCACTGCCACCTCCGCCTCCTGGGTTCAAGTGATTCTCCCACGTCAGCCTCCTGAGTAGCTGGGATTACAGGCACCTGCCACCATGCCCAGCTAATTTTTATATTTTTAGTAGAGACGGGGTTTCACCAGGTTGGCCAGGCTGGTCTTGAACTCCTGACCTCAGGTGATCCACCCGCCTTGGCCTCCCAAAGTGCTAGGTTTACAGGCATGAGCCACTGTGCCTGGCCATAACCACTTCTTAAAACCCTTTTTATTTTGAAATAACTTTGGACTTATACAAAAGTTGCAAAAATCGTTGGAAAGGGTTTCTGGATCCCCTTCAGCTAACTTCCCTAAATGTTAACATCTTACAAAACCATACTGCAATGATCAAAATCAGGAAATTACCATTGATAGAATACTATTAACTAGTCTACAGACCTTATTCCAGTGTTGCCAAGTGGCTGCTGATGGACCTTTTTCTGGTCCAGGATCGAATCCCAAATCCCACATGGCTCGGAGGTGTCATGTGTTTTTAGTTTCTTCCTGCCGGGGACAGGTCTTCAGTCTTTTTCGCTCACGACCTTGACACTCTCGCTGGTTATGTTGTACAATGTCTCTCAGTTTGGGTTTGTGTGGCAAGACGCCTGCGGCAGTGAAGCGGTGCTTTTCTCAGCCCGTCGTGCCAGGAGGTACATTATTTTGATAACTGCTCTTTTAAAACTTTATGCATGAAATCAGTTAGCCGAGATGTCCCAAACCTTCACCGCATCGTTTGTGTGATTTCGAGGAAGCATTATATAAGTACAAATTAGACAAGCAGCTGTTCTTCTTTGAGAGCTTCTGGAATTGCCTTTTCCCAGGGGATTCAGTGGGCTCTGCTGCCACATTTTACTCTTTTGCAGTCTGAGCAAGGAAAAAACAAGAAATACCTTTTTCTTTCTGTTATATTTGAGGGGAGTGAATTTGAGGGGAGTGAAATTGAAGATTATGTTAAATTCAAAGTCCCAGGATCTAGAACACTGATATTTCTATGCCAATAATATGTTTAATGGAACATGCATTTAGACTGAGACTCTGTTGCCCAGGCAATGTGGCAACCTCTTGGCTCAGAGCAACCTCTGCCTCCCGGGTTCAAGCAATTCTCCCGCCTCAGCCTCCCAAGTAGCTGGGACTACAGGCATGTGCCACCACACCCGGCTAATTTTTTGTATTTTTAGTAGAGATGGGGTTTTGCCATGTTGGCCAGGCTGGTCTTGAACTCCTGACTTCAACTGATCCGCCTGCCTCGGCCTCCCAAAGTGCTGGGATTCACCACGCCCGGCCCGGCTTTTAGCAGCATTTGCTTGAATTTATTTCTGAGAGATACAGAGGCATGGCTTGGAGCTGGGGCTCCACCTACCTGAGGACCCCACATGAGAAGAGTTTAGAATGCCCCATTGGCACAGGCGGCAGGAGGCCCCTGCCATCACAGCGGGGACGGCGGAGGCCCCTGCCATCAGAGCGGGGACGGAGCTCGGCTTTGTTGAAGGGCTTTTGAAAGAAGGTGACTTGCTGCAATTGTTTTTTCAGTGAGTGATTCATAAAGATGGCAAGATCTGTCTCCAACATGGCTTTTAGAGATTTCTGGAGTTTTTTTATAGAGGAGAAGATAATCCCACATGAAGTTAAAATACTTTTACAAAGGTTTTGTTCTTAAATGTAAGGAAAATGAGGCATTAGTCAAGCTCCTGGCTCACTTGAGGGGAAAGAAAGATTGTCAAAGGGAATTTGGAATCTTCTGGATGGACTGAGAAGTAACTTGGTTAGGTTGAGGGGCCTGGGTGGTGGTTGGGCAGCCGCAGAGCTGTCAGAGTAGAGTCAATGTCGTAGGGTGAAGGTATGGGCAGCGTGGAGGGGGACCCAGGTACAGAAGGAGGCTGGCATGGTGGGTAATCGCCATGCCTAGGATCCCACAGTCCCTCAGAGGGAAAACTTTGGCCTGATCATTTTGCTTGAGTCTCAGTTGGAAAGGGCCTCATACTCCAGTCTGCACCTGTGAGTGAATCTTGCTGATAGCATCCTTACCAAGTGACTTTATCGCCTCTGTTTGAATATGTCCAGTGATGGAGAGGTTAGTACCTCTCATAGCAGGCCTCCTGTGTTTGGACATCTCCTTATTGAGGAGAAATCTTTTCTCCTGTTAATGCCACTCCTTGTTCTTGGGTCTGCCCCTGCATTCACACTGAGCGAGTTATTCCCTTCTCCCCAGGGGCACTGTGCCACCTCAATACCCACCCACTTGTCTACTCTTACTCCACCCACATGGTTTCTCCTTGTTTATCTCTCATGGTTTCCCCACTATCATCCAGGTCTCCCCGCTGAATGGTCTGCACTTTGCCTGTGCTCCTTCTTAAGGTGTGGTGCCTGAACAAAACACCCACCACTCTTGACATGCCCAGAGCAGGCATCACCCAGTACACATGGCTCCGTCCAGATGAAAACCTTCCCAGGAGTGGCTGGATAAGGCCCCCAACCCCAACACTTGACAACCTGCTGTGCTTACTGGCTCCCCATGGCCCTCCGATTTCAGATTTCTCAGATTTCTGGCTTTGCCAGAAGACTCTGGCATCCCTGGGGCAGGTGCCTTGCTCACATCTGGGACCCTGCCTCCTGGGCTGTGATCACCAGTGCTCAGCTCTGCCAGGCCAGGTACAGCACATAGTGCTCCCAGGGTGGCCTGACCCGGGCAGAGTGGAGAAGGGCTCTTGCCTCCCCTATCCTAGTTTCTTTCCTGTCCAGCCTAGGCTCACATAGCTTCTTTTGGCTGCCACATCACATGCGGGATTCATGGTCAAACAGGCTAAATTTTTTTCACAGATGCTGCCGTGAGGCCATATTTCTCCCGAGCTGCACCTGTGCCACTGATATGTGTTCCTCCTAAGCCCCGTCTTGTTAGATTCAAATGGACTCATGGCTCCTCTCAGCAGAAAGCTGGGTTACTGGTTATTGTTTCTGATTCCTGATGGGGACAATAAAAGGCACAGACACACAGACTGGTAAGATAGAGAAGAAGCCAGAATGAACGCCCTGGCCAGCATAGGGAGCGCTCTCAAATGCGGCCGGGATGACCAGGGCGCTGAGGACAGCAGGCTCTTCCACAGGGCCTTGGGGAGGTGCCAGACTGCACCACTTCCTCCCTCTCATTCTGTTCCTGGGTTAGGGCAAAAATCAGGAAGCTCTCGTCTTCTGAACCTCACAGCCACCCCTTTGGGCTCTCCCTTCAGAAAGTGTGTTGACCGGTGGGGGCGCGGTGGCTCACACGTGTAATCCCAGCACTTTGGGAGGCTGAGGCGGGCGGATCACCTGAGGTCGGGAGTTTGAGACCAACCTGTCCAACATGGAGAAGCCCCGTCTCTAATAAAAATACAAAATTAGCCGGGCCTGTGGCGTGTGCCTGTAATCCTAGCTACTTGGGAGGCTGAGGCGGGAGAATCGCTTGAACCCGGGAGGAAGAGGTTGCGGTGAGCCGAGATCGTGCCATTGCACTCCAGCCTGGGCGACAAGAGCAAAACTCCGTCTCAAAAAAAAAAAAAAAAAAAGCAAGCAAGAAAGAAAGCGTGTTGACCATCTCGAGCTTAACTTGTGCCTCCCGAGAGACTGAGACCGGCATAGCTGTTGGTGTTAGTGGCTTGGTTGGCCAGCAGCTTGCTGTTACTGCAGGACCCTCCTGGGCAGAGGAGACCCTCCAGGGAAATACACACTATTTTATGTGCTGGTTTTGGGCCTAACGCCTCATGGGCATTCTTAGCCCTGGGAGACCAGTGTATGAGCTGGGATTGCCTCACACTAAGAATAGCAGGAACCCCTAGAAGTCTAGGGCCATTGTGGCTTTGGGGAGCCCAGGCTCCTTGTTTTTTTCTGCTGTGTTATTCTGAAGGCAGCTCAGGATCCCAGGATACTGTGATAGTCCTTCACCTCCAGCCTCAGTCCAGGCAGGGACAAGCAACGCACCTGCATCGGGAAAGCAAAACTCAGCAATTGTGGTCGACCTCCGCTTGCAGCCTATTGGCCAGAGGCAGGTCACGTGACCACTAGGTGGGTGGTAATCTGGAAAGCGTTGGGCGCACTGCTGTCCCTGGACAAAATCCAGATTCTTGTTAGTGAGGCAGATGAGAAGAACGGATGCTGGCAGGCAAAGAGCAGTGTCTGTCACAGCTCAGCTGGGCTGTGGCCTCCAGCTGTTCACAGGGATATTGGGGCTTTGGCATTCAAGGGGCTCAAAGGGGAACCCCCTGGGGATAGGTCTTTGTTTTTCTTTTCCTGTAGGGCAGTGGTATTGAACCTTGGTTGTGGGTTAGAATCACCTAGAGAACAGTGAGGGAAAAAGTGTCTGTGCCTCACCTCTGGGTCAGGAGTGAGGCTAGGCAAAGGAATACTTTAAAGAACTTCCCTGTGATTAAAAAGAAAAAAAAAATCATTCTATGGAGAATCTCAAACATACGCAAAAGTAGAAAGCTGTATATTGATCCCTGGTGTACCTGTCACCTGGGTTTCCATAATTATCAGCACATGGCCAATCTTGTTTCAGCTACATCTCCATTTTCCTCCCCCTCCCCATACCAGATTAATTTTCGAAGCAATTCCTGGACATGGTATTTCATTTGCAAATATTTTAATATTTATCTCTAAATGATAAGAACTCGTTTTAGTAATATAACCACACGACCATGATCACATTTCCAAGTGATTCTAATAAACAGGGGCCCAGAGAACAACTGCTGTGGACTAGATGAACCAGTTCTTCCCCCAGGACCTGTTGCACTGGAATCCCCTGAGGTGAATGACACAGGCAGATTTCTGGGGCCACCCCTTCCTACTGAATCAGAATGTCAACGGGAGGGACCTGGGAGTTTGCATTTTAACAAGCTCCCCAAGTGCTTGTTAACTAACTTTTGAGAGCTGAGGCAGTAAGGTCTTCCTGGTCCCAAGGCCCCTTCAAATTGAGAAGCAGCCCTAAGATGGGGATCCCACAGCGACTGTAAGAGCTGCAAATTGAGGGAAGAGGAATTAGAGTAGGATGAGGCAATCCCAGCAGTGGCCAAGAAGGAAAGGCCGAGAAGTCCAGCAGTGCTCAGGAGGCACTGTCATGCTAGCTGGAGCTGCCCGCCCAGGAGTATTCACAGCCCCACCTTACCCACCTTGTCAGGGTATTGCTGTGGGGGGGGCAGGTGAGTCGAGATAGAACCTTCTGCTCTCTGGAAGAGTAGAAATGCGCCATTGACTGTTGGGTATAAGTGGTAGAGCCTGGTATAATACACCCAGACTCAGTTAATTTTAGGTCTGAATATATTTGACAATGGAGAGACAGTTTAGAGAAAGACGGGCAGCAAGTCAATCTGAAATAAGCTCTCTTGCCTAGACCTTTTTGTTACTTGTTTTGTTTTGTTTTTGTTTTAAGACAGGTCTCACTCTCGCCCAGGCTGGAGTACAGTGGCACAATCTTGGCTCACTGCAACTTCTGCTTCCCGGGCTCAAATGATTCTCCTGCCTCAGCCTCCTGAGTAGCTGGGATTATAGGCGTGTGCCACCACGCCCTGCTAATTTTTGTATTTTTAGTAGAGATGGGGTTTCACCATGTTGGCCAGGCTGGTCTCGAACTCCTGGCCTCAAGTGTCTGCCCGCCTCAGCCTCCCAAAGTGCTGGGATTACAGGTGTGAGCCACCGCTCCCGGCCACAACCTTTTTGTTACTTTTAAAAATGTCAGGTAGGCTGGGCATGGTGGTTCACACCTGTAATCCCAGCACTTTGGGAGGCAGAGGCAGGTGGATCACTTGAGGCCAGGAGTTCGAGACCAGCCTGGCCAACATGGTGAAACCTCATCTCTACCAAAAACACAAAATTTAGCAGGGCGTGGTGGAACATGCCTATAATAATCCCAGCTACTTGGGAGCCAGAGGCACGAGAATTGCTTGAACCCGGGAGGCGGAGGTTGCAGTGAGCCAAGGTTGTGCCACAGCACTCCAGTCTGGGTGAAAGAGAGAGACGCTGTCTAAAAAAAAAAGTGCTAAGGGTGTGGCCCTTAAGGAGACAGGAACAAATCATCTAGTTCCACTAGGGATGTAACTGCCCAATGGCTTCACCTTGCTCACTGCCTAGACAGAACCGGTTTATCAAGACAGAGGACTTGCAGTAGACAAAGAGTAATTCACGCAGAGCCGGCTGTGCAAGAGACCAGAGTTTTATTATTACTCAAATCAGTCTCTCCAAACATTCAGGAATCAAGAGTTTTTAAGGATAATTTGGTGGGTGGGGGAAGGCCAGTGACAGAGTGTTGATTGGTTGGGCCGGAGAGGAAATCATGGGAAATTGAAGCTGTCTTCTTGCGCTGAGTCAGTTCCTGGGTCGGGGCCACAAGAGCAGATGAGCCAGTTTGTCCACCTGGGTGGTGCCAGCTGATCCATCCAGTGCAGGGTCTGCAAAGTATCCCAAGCGCTGATCTTAGGAGCAGTGTAGGGAGGGTCAGAATCTTGTAGCCTCTAGCTGCATGGCTATAAATTATGGTTTATAATTTGTAATCTGGTGCCTAATTTGTTAGTCCTACAAAGACAGTCTGATCCCCAGGCAAGAAGGAGGTTTGTTTTGGGAAAGGGCTGCCATCTTTGTTTTAAACTATAAACTATAGTCTGGGCGTGGTGGCTCACACCTGTAATCCCAGCACTTTGGGAGGCTGAGGTGGGCGGAACACCTGAGGTCAGGAGTTCGAGACCAGCCTGGCCAACATGGCAAAACCCTGTCTCTACTGAAAATACAAAACTTAGCCAGGCGTGGTGGTGGGTGCCTGTAATCCCAGCCACTTGGGAAGCTGAAGCAGGAGAATTGCTTGAACCCAGGTTGCAGCGAGCCAAGATCGCGCCACTGCACTCTAGCCTGGGTGACAAGAGTGGAACTTTATCTCAAAAAAATATAACTCATCTCAAATATAACTCCATCTCAAAAAAACACAACTGTAAACTAAGTTCCTCCCAAAGCTAGCTCAGCCCACAGCCAGGAATGAAAAAGGACGGCTTGGAGGTTAGAAGCAAGATGGAGTTGGTTAGGTCAGCTCTCTTTCACTGTCTCAGTGTTTTGCAATGGTGGTTTCAATGACACCTTCTCATTCTTTCTGCAGAGCAACACTGGGGGTCATGGGAATACAGACTGATGCTCTTTGGATGGAGTCATTCACAAGCTTTGGGTGTACCGACCACACTATCCTGATCACTTGAGACCATCCGTGCACAAGGACTTAAAATCCAGACTCCTCTGTGGCAGTACAAAAGGACAGGGGGTTACCTTGGCAGGTTTTCCTAGTGAACCCTCATTTCTGTCTAGTGAATTTAATGTTCTTTAAGAACATATTTTAATAATTTTTTAAAAGCTTAATATGTTGAATAGGTAATATATTTACATGGTACAAAATTTGAATGGCAGGCCGGGCGCCGTGGCTCATGCCTGTGATCCCAGTACTTTGGGAGGCCGAGGCAGGCGGATCACCTGAGGTCAGGAGTTCGAGACCAGTGTGGCCAACATGGTGAACCCCCGTCTCTACTAAAAATACAAAAATTGGCCAGGTGTGGTGATGCAAGCCTGTAGTCCCGGCTACTCAGGAGGCTGAGGCAGGAGAATCGCTTGAACCCAGGAGGCGGAGGTTGCAGTGAGCTGAGATCGTGTCACTGCACTCCAGCCTGGGCAACAAGAGTGAAACTCTGTCTCAAAAACAAAACAAAACAAAACAAAAAACAAAATTTGAATGGCGTCAAATGGTATACAGAAAAGGTAAGTCTATCTCCCATCTCTTTTCCCCTGTTACCACCTGCTCATTCACCCCTACCTCCTTCATTTGTCATTACTGGGTTAATATCCTTTAAAAACTAACAGGACCTCCGCTTCTGGGAAGATGGAGTAGATGTACTTTTCTCTATTCTTTCTGTCAAGTACAACTAAAAACCCTGGATATTACATAAATTATAAATAATTTAGTAAGTATGTAATATATAAAAAGCCTCTTAAAAGGCAGAGAGAAGAAGGCAGACCAGCTAAGGACCTCAGGACCCAAGAAATGGTGCAGTGATGAGTTCTCTAGGTTTTCTTTTTGTTTCTTATGTCCCAGACTTGGAGTTGAAGCAGCCGGCAACCCAGAAATACCAGTAAGCTCAGACGCAAAAAGCCCCAACAAAAATTTGCTCTCTCTAGCCAAATGACCAGTGCAGTAGGACAGAACAAGTGGGTTTGTTCCAGGGATATAAGGATGGTTCATTATTTGAAAATTAATCTCATCCACCAAATTAATGAACTAAAAGAAGAAAACTTACATGATGCTCTCTATCAATGCAGAAGATGCAAAATTTAGCACACATTTATGATTTTAAAAATCTCAGGAAAAATAGACATAGAGGGGGATTTTCCTGAACTTGATAAAGGGTAAACACCATAAGCCTTCAGCTAACATACTTAAGGGTGAGACTGAATGCTTTGTCCCTAAGATGGGGAACAAACCAAGGATATTAGTTCTCACCGCTTATCCAACATAGTGCTGTAATTTCTAGCCAGTGCAATAAGGTAAGAAATGGAAGTAAAAGTCATATAGATTGGAAAAGAAGGAATAAGACCCCATATTTGCAGATTACATGATTGTGTACATAGAAGATCCCAAGGCATCCACAAAAAAACTCCTAGAACTAATAAGTAAGTTTAGCAGGGTTACAAGATACAAGATAACACACAAAAATCAATTGCATTTCTGTATACTAGCAATGAACATATGGATATCAAATTTTAAAACAATACAGTTTCGACCGGATGTGGTAGTTCATGCCTGTAATCCCAGCACTTTGGGAGGATGAGGTGGGAGGATCACTTGAGTCCAGGAGTTCAAGATCAGCCTGGGCAACATGGTGAGACCCTGTCTCTGCAAAAAATACAAAAATTAGCTGAACCTGGTGGTGCATGCCTGTAGTCCCAGCTACTGGGGAGGCTGAGGTGGAAAGATTGCTTGAGTGTGGCAGGCGGAGGCTGCAGTGAGCCGAGATCATGCTACCGCACTCCAGCCTAGGCAACAGAGTGAGACCCTGTCTCAAAAAATAAAATAAAATGAAATAAAATAAAACAAAACAAAACAATACCATTTGTAGTTGCTCAAAAAAAGAGAGAAATAGATGTAACAAACATGTTACACATAACACAGCATGTGTAGGATTTGTTTTTTGTTTTGTTTTTGTTTGTTTGGTTGGGTTTTTTTGAGACGGAGTTTCACTCTTGTTGCCCAGGCTGCAGTGCAATGGTGCGATCTCGGCTCACTTTGACCTCCGCCTCCTGGGTTCAAGTGATTCTTCTGCCTCAGCCTCCCGAGGAGCTGGGATTACAGGCACCCCCTCACCATGCCCGGCTGGTTTTTTGTATTTTTAGTAGAGTCAGGGTTTCACCATGTCGGCCAGGCTGGTCTTGAACTCCTGACCTCAGTTGATCCACCTGCCTCGGCCTCCCAAAGTGCTGGGGTTACAGGGATGACCCACCATGCCCGGCCGCATGTATGGTTTAAATGCTGAAAACGACACAACACTGATGAAAGAAATCAAAGATCTATGTAAATGGAAACCCCATACTGTACTCAGGAATTGGAAGACTCAACAAAGTAAAGATGCCAACTTTCCCCAAATTGATATACAGGTTTAGCACACTTTCTATAAAAATCCCAGTCATATTTTTTATAGATGAAGACAAGATTACTCTAAAATTTATATGGAAAGGCAAAGGAAATAGAATAGCTAAAAGAATTTTGAAGAAGAAAAATAAAGTAGCAGCACATATATCAATGAATCAAAATAGAAAATCCAGAAATAGGCCCACCCAAATATGCCCAACCAATTTTTGACAAAAGTGCAAAAGCAATTCAATAGAGGAAAGATAACGTTTTCAAAAAATGGCGCTGGAGCAAATGGACACAAAACTTAGACCTAAGTCTGACGTCTTATACAAAAATTAATGGATCATAGACTTAAGAAGTAAAACATAAAACTATAAAACTTTTTTTTTTTTTGAGACAGGGTCTCCCTCAGTCCCCCAGGCTGGAGTGCAGTGGTGCAATCTCAGCTCATTGCAACCTCTGCCTCCTGGGCTCAGTTGATCTTCCTGCCTCAGCCTTCCAAGTAGCTGGGACTTAAAGGCGTGAGCCACCACACCTGACTAATTTTCGTATTTTTTGTAGAGATGGGGTTTCGCCATGTTGCCCGGGCTGTTCTCGAACTCCTGAGCTCAAGCAATCTGCCCACCTCAGCCTCCCAAAGCGCTGGGATTACAGGCATGAGCCACCATCCCAGCCAAAACTATAAAACTTTTAGAAAAGAACATAGAAGAAAATCTTTGGGTCCTGGGGGCAAAGAGCTCTGAGACTTGACATCAAAAGCATGCCGCATAATAGGAAAATACTAGACTTTATTTAGGGGTTAAGAGTTTAGACTCTGGACTCTCTCAGCCTTGGTTTCACTAGTTAGCTCTATCACTAACTACATTGGGCATTGAAAATTCCTCTGTTGTCCCACGTGGTGCATGGATGATTGTAGACGAGGACACTGAGATCCTGAAGGCAGAAGTAATTTCTCTAAGCAACGTTGTTGGTTGGTGGCAGAGTCTGGGTTACAACCCCTGGTTTCCTGATTCCGAGTCCAAGTGAAATACTTTTGCCCCTGCAGTAGACCCTGCTACAGAGGATAAAAAGGCACGTCATAGGCTAGGAGAAAAATTTTGCCTACCACATATGTAACCAAGGACTAGCAGCTAGGACATCTGAAGAATTCTCAACATTCAACGGGGTAGAAGAATGAACGATTCAATAGAATATGGGCAAAAGACATGAAGAGGCATTTTACCAAACATAGGGTGCTATGGTCCGAATGTTTGCATTCTCCTCAAATTCCTGTGTTGAAATCCTAACCCCCAAGGTATTGGTATTAGGAGGCAGGGGCCCTGGGAAGTGATTAGGTCATAAAGGTGGAGTCCTCATGGATGGGATTAGTGTCTTTATAAAAGAGACCTTTGCCATGTGAGGTTACAGTGAGAAGACATCTGTCTATGAAGAAAGTGGGCCCTCACCAAACACAGTCTGCTGGCACTTTGCACTTCAACTCCCCAGCTTCCAGAACTGTAAGGAATATAAGTCTGTTGTTGGTAAGCCACCCGGTCTATGATATTTTGTTATAGCAGCCCAAACAGACTAAGACAGGTGACAAATAAACATGAAAAGATGTTCAACATCATTAGCCATTAGGGAAATGCAGATTAAAACCACAGCGAAATATCATGATACAGTTTTCAGCATGGCTAAACTAGAAAATAGTGACACCACCAAATGCCGACAAGGCTGTGGGGAAACTGGGTTGTTCAGACACTGCCACTGGGGCTGTAGCGTACTATAGCCACTTTCATAAACAGTTTGTCAGTTTCTTAAAAAACTAAACCTGCAACTACCATATGACCCAGCAATTACACCCCTGGGCACCTACCCAAGAGAAATGAAAACTCAACGTTTGCGCAAAAACCTGTGTAGGAATGTTCAAGCAGCTTTATTCATAATATGCCCAAACAGGAAACAACTCAGCTGTCCTTCAGTAGGTAAATAGTTAAGCAAATTGTCATACCCCTGTGTCATGGAGCACTACCTAGCAATAACAAGGAGCAAATTATTGATACATAACAATCTGGATGAATCTCCAGAGAATTATGTTGAATGAAAAAAGCCAGCCCCTGAAGGATACATACTGTATGATGCCATTTACATAACATTCTTGAAATTCTAAAATTACAGAGATGGGGAACAGATTTGTGGTTAAAGATGGAGCCGGGTGGGAAGAAAGTAGGTGTGGCTATAAACGGGTAACATGAAGGATCCTTGTGGTGATGGAAATTTCTGTATTTTTATTGTATCCGTGTCAGTATCCTGGTTGTGATATGGTAATACAGTTTTGCAAGATACTACCCTTAGGGGAAATGAGGTAAGACCTGGCATCTCTCTGTATTATTTCTTAATTGCATGTGAATCTACAATTATTTCAAAATAAAAAGTATGATTGAAGTAACTCTCAGGAAGCTTAGCCTACTGTGGATTAAGACATCAAAATTGCAGCAGGCTTTAACAAAGCTATACTACTACAAGGATAGTTCACACTTGAATTAGCTTGAAACATTACCTATCCATGTCATCTTGGAAAGCAGAAAATGGAACTTTATTGGAGTGGGACACTGGATGGCCAGGGTTTAGCAGAGCCTGCCCAACAAAAGTAGCTTCAGAATTGGCTTTATTCTCAGGAAGGCTCTTCCTGGACAGTGGCAAACATAGCCATAGCAAATACTGGCTCACTTTCTATCAGCCAGCAACCCTGGTGGAAAGAGGGCCTCTTACTCAGTTGTACCAGCAAGCTGTCTCCAGGAGCCGGGGCTGGAGAGACACCCAGTGCTGCTCTAGGCCAGTGTGGCTGAGGGTCTGTCTAGTCTGTCCTTGTACTCACGGCTTCCTTTTCTCTTGCAGACGCCCACTATTGCTTGGTTCTACTTCCTTTATCCCGATTGGCCGTCGGACTTATGCCAGTGCGGCGGAGCCGGTGAGTGGAAGCCCAGCTACCCGGGAGCCAGTTGGATGGTCAGAACCCTTTCTTCTGGGCCCCTAGGCCCTGAGCTACCCTCAGAGTGGGGCCTTAGTGTTTCCAGGACACTGGGAGCCACTTTCTCACTTAACCCTCCCCCAAAGCCCCTCATCAGTAATGAGCTCACACACCCCCATCCATGTGGGGAGGAAGCAGTAATGAGGCACTCCAGCCCCTCCCAGCCAGGAAGGTATCACTGGAGGCCTAGGTGGGGGGCGAGAACTCCCAGCCCCACCCAGCAAGTTAGGGGTTAAGAGTTTAGACTCCGGAGGCCCAGGGCGGTGGCTCCCGCCTGTAATCCCAGCACTTTGGGAGGCCGAGGTGGGTGGATCAACTAAGGTAGGGAGTTCAAGACCAGCCTGGCCAACATGGAGAAACCCCATCTCTACTAAAAATACAAAATTAGCCGGGCGTGGAGGTGCATGCCTGTAATCCCAGCTACTTGGGAGGCTGAGGCAGGAGAACTGCTTGAACCTGGAAGGTGAAGGTTTTGCGGTGAGCCGAGACTGGCCATTGCCCTCCAGCCTGGGCAACAAGAGCCAAACTCCATCTCAAAAAAAAGAAGAAGAGTTTAGACTCTGGAATCTCTCAGCCCTGGTTTCAGTTCCAGCTCTATCACTAGCTACATTGAGCGTTTTAAAAAGACCTCTGTTTCTCACATGTAGCATGGGGGATTGTAGATGAGATCCTGAAGGCAGAAGTAATTTTCCCAAGCAACATTGCTGGTTGGTAGCCGAGTCTGGGTTAGAACCTGGCCTTTCCACTATACCATGGTGCTTCTCCAGACAACAAGAACAAGGTAGGGAGGGCCAGGCTTGGGCCACTCAGGAAGCACTAACTCTCACTGCACAGAGGGTGGAGAGGCCTGGTCACTTTGCCCCTGTACCACCGGTTCCTAACATGGAATCTGACCTTGTAAAACAGGTTGGCAGCAAAGCTGTCCTGGTCACAGGCTGTGACTCTGGATTTGGGTTCTCATTGGCCAAGCATCTGCATTCAAAAGGCTTCCTTGTGTTTGCTGGCTGCTTGATGAAGGTAAGAGACGAGTTATCTTCTTCACCATTGTCTTTTACACATAGTCATTGTTTTTTAGTCTTTTAAAAAGTGCTTTCCTAACAACTGGCTCACCTTTGCTTAAACCAGCCTGTCCATTTTCCATCGGCTTCAGTCCCACTTGTTCTTCATAGCTTTGTCCATCCATCATCCATGCATCCATCCATCCATCCATCCTCTCATCTATCCATCATTCGTCAAATGCTATGATGTACCTGACACTTTGCTAGGTGCAGTAGAAGAATGAGACCTTGTCCCTGCCCTGAAGTTGCTCCCTGTCGAGTGGTGAGGAGACAGCCATGCATAGACACAGCTGAAGAATTCGAGTGAAGCAGATTCTCAGGGGTGTGCGAGAATGTTCGGCGAGACTGTGTAGGAGGAAGGGATTGATGATGGCATGCCAGAGGAAGTGACATTTGTTCTGGGCCATGGCGAGTAAATAACACTGCCACAGGTGGAGACTGGGAGGAGTTACCTGCTGGACGGGAGGAATAGCCTGGGCAGAGGCTTGAAAGCATGAGGCTCCTTCGGGACACATTAAGTAGAATTTAAGGTGCATGAAGGGAAGCACTGGGACCCGAGACTGCAAAAGCAAACAGTGGGCAGTGCCCCAGTTAGAAAGTTGTGCGCCCACCACCACAATCCACTTTAGAATACGTCCATCACTCAGAATTCTCTCTCTTGACCATTGGCAGTTAATCTCCACATATACCTCTAGCCCTGAGCAGCCACTGATTTCTATTTCTTTAGGTTTGCATTTTCTGGACTTTTCATCTACATGAAATCATACAATACATGGCCTTTTGTGCCACACTTCTTGAACACTTAGTGTGATGTTTTTGAGAGTCATCCATGTTGCAGAATGCATCAGTAGCTCATTCCTTTGTATTGCTGAGTGGTATTCTGTTGTGTGCCTATGCTATATATATATACATATATGTATATATATATATACACATATATATATATATATATTTTTTTTTTAATTTATGTTTTTGAGACAGAGTCTTACTTTGTCTCCCAGGCTGGAGTGCAGTGGGTGCAATCTTGGCTCACTGCAACCTCTGCCTCCCGGGTTCAAGTGATTCCCCTGCCTCAGCCTCCCGAGTAGCTGGGACTACAGGCATGAGCCACCATGCCCACCTAATTTTTGTATTTTTATTAGAGACGGGGTTTCACCATGTTGGCCAGACTGGTCTCAAACTCCTGTCCTCAGGTGATCCACTCACCTTGGCCTCCCAAAGTGCTGGGATTACAGGCGTGAGCCACCACGTCTGGCCCAAAGCACTATTTTTAAAAGCTACTTGTATTAATTTTTGTTTTTTCTTTATCGCTGTATTATTTATTTGAAATATAATGCCATTTATTTGTGATCTGTTTTCCTTGTTGTTGATTCTTGTTGATGTAATTTAATTTCTGAATATGTAAACTGTTAACAAGGCTGTAAAGGCAAAAATTATACAAATTGGTAAAATCAAAGTAGCGTTATTCCCTCACCCCTATCTGTTCCACTCCATTCCTTCATTTTTCCCCATGTTACACAAGTGTTTGCATATTGCATATACTCTTTGGTTTTTTAAAACATCAACAATATACCTTGGAAATCAGGTTGTATGACCTCACAGAGATCTTTTTCACTTTGTTCACAGCTTTGAAGCACCCACTGAGTGGGCGGATCATAATTTACTTCATCAAAATCTCCTGTAAATGAGCATTTAGGTGTTTTCAATATTTTGCAATTACAAATAATGCCACAATGAATAACTTTGTATTTTTGTTATTATTGGGGGGTTATCTTTTTTTTTTTTCTTTTTTTTGAGATGGAGTTTTGCTCTTGTTGCCCAGGCTGGAGTGCAATGGCCCAGTGTCGGCTCACTGCAACCTCCACCTCCCGGGTTCAAGAAATTCTCCTGCCTCAGCCTCCCAAGTAGCCGGGATTATAGGTGCCTACCACCACATCTGGCTAATTTTTGTATTTTTAGTAGAGAGGGGGCTTCACCATGTTGGTCAGACTGGTTATCTTTAGAGTAAATTCCTTGGGAGTGAGATTGCTCTTAGATCAGAGTGTAAATAAAATATATTGTCATTTTAAAGATATTCCCAAATTTTCCATCCTAGGGGTCATGTAATTTTACATTCCCTCCAGGAGTGCATGAGTGCCTATTTCCACACAATTTCACCAACAGAGTATGCATCAAGCTTTTGGTTTTTGCCAGTCTGATAGGTGGGAAATGTACCTCAGTGTTGTTTTTATTGTATTTCTCTTCTGAGTGCATACCCCTGTTCTTTAAGGACATGACCCAGAAGCTTCCTCTGCAGATATCACCTGTGCTCTCATTCTCTTGGCCAGAACTTAGTCACATGGCCTTACCTGGCTGCAAGGAAGGCTGGAAAATGTAGTGAGTATTCTGAGACAATATGTACCCGGCCTAAAATGTCAGGCGTTCTACTGCTATAGAAGAAGGATGAAGGGAAGAGTGGGCATTCAGGACAACTTGCTTTCTCTGCTCGGTGGGTGAGACATTTTTCTTTATTTTCAAGCCAGTAGGAACCCAGGGGAGGAATTTCCCATACTATGTTGATATCTTTGTAATATTTGATACCCAACGTAAAATTTCAATAATATAAACAAGTAAAAGAAATCATTTATATTGCCATGCTCTAAACATCATTCCATCTGGATCAGAGAAGGTTTTGTTTGTCCTTTTAATCTTTACTTCTTTGAATTGTGAAAGTAATACTACATATTCATAATAAATTCAAATAATACAGAAGTATATTATGTAAAAAAGTGAAGTCTTCCCAATCTCTTGCTCCAAGGCAGCTTAAATGCAGGTGTATACATTATTTGTGAGTTTTGCTATTACAGGTCGAGTATCTCTTATCTGAAATGCTTGGGACCAGATGTGTTTTGGATTTTGGATTTTTCCAGATTTTGGAATATTTGCATTATACTTGCTCAGCATCTCTGATCTGAAAATCCAAAATCCAAAGTGCTCCAATGAGTATTTCCCTGGAGCATCATGTCAGCACTCAAAATTCAGATTTTGGAACATTTCAGATTTGGGATTATTGGATTAGGGATGCTCAACCGGTATTAACAAAGCCTGGGTGAGCCATCTTGCACATATATCTTTGCCTCCTTCCACTGGCGATTCTTAGGAACATTTCGTAGATGTGAAAGTGCAAGTTGCAAAGGTGTGCAGGTTTTAGGTTTTGTTCAAATCCCCAAACTGCTTTCCTGAAAGGCTGTCGCTCTCCTGACAGTGCTCAAGAGAACCCGTCTGGGGAGGGTTCTGGGGAATGGGTGTGGCATCCCTGGTGCTGGATTCTTCTGCAGAATGTGGACCTACCTCAGCGGGTCCCAGCAAGAACCATGATGCCATAAAAATGTTGTAAAGTCCCTTGTCCTATGTTAGGCTTCTGTGCCATTGTGCTGGCTTATCCAGTGACACAGGGAGCCACAGTCAGATTCCACAGCACAGGGCAGAGGCTGCTCGATGCTGCAGAAGACTCTTCAAAAGGGCCTTCGGTTCTAGTCCTAGACTGACCACTAACCCCGGAAGGGGACAAACATGTCCCCTCCCTGGGCCTCAGTTTCCTCTTACTTACCCTAATAGGATTGGACTGGTGATCTTAGATCCTTCCACTCCTGCAACAGTGATTCTAGAATTGGTTGACTGGTATTTTGAAGAAAGTACCAGACAAGCTCATTGGCAGGTTATATCTGTTGGTATCTACCTCTTGACCCATTCCATCTGCTATCTGAGATCAGTCAGGCAAGTCAGAAAGCAGTTAGCACCACCAGAGGCTTTGGATAAGGCACCGTGGGGGTTGAAAGGGGGAATTTGCTTCTAGCCCGATTCTGTAGTGTTAGCCCCATGATGGATTCCGGCTACATCTGTACCTAAACACTCTCTCTGCTCTTGTTCAGAATTAGTGTTCCTCTTATCTCTCATATCTCATTGCCTTTGGCCAACTCAGGGACTTAGCTCCAGCAGATGTCTGCCACCTCCTACGTCACTGGCTCCACGCTCTCTCCTGGGTCATTTCAGCACATGCACACACACACACACACACACACACACACTCACTCACTCACTCATACAGACCTACACCACCACACCCTGTGTACATTACCTCCCCACGGCTCTGCTCCTTGTTGCAGAAAAGCACCCCCAGAGGGGGTGCAACCCACCTGGATCAGGCTTTGCCCCATCACGATGTTTATTTACTTGTTTATTTATTCAGCAGATATTTACTGAGCACCTAAGATAAGCTGACAGTGTTCCCTGTTGGAGATACAGCATATAACACCTCAGTGAGAAGTTCTTGCCCTTGCGGAGCTTATATTCCAAGGGGGGATGATAGGCAAGGAATAAGATAAGTAAATTGCTTCTCTGCAGGGTGGTAAAAGCAGTAGAGAAAAATAAAACAGGAAAAGAAGATAAAGCATGGTGGACGGGGTGTCAGATTTTCAAGAGGGAGGAAAGATCACACCAAGAAGGTAAATTGGAGCTCCCTCATCCAAAGGAGGTGCGGGAGGGAGTGTCACAGAAACCAAGGAGGTGCGGGAGGGAGTGTCACAGAAACTAAGGAGGTGCAGGAGGGAGTGTCACAGAAACCAAGGAGGTGCGGGAGGGAGTGTCACAGAAATCCAGGGGAAGAGGGGACAGTGCAGTACAGAGCTCCAGGAGGGAGTGTGCAGGGTGCATCTGAGAAACAGCATGAAGCCTCTGTGGCTGAAGCAGAATGAGGGGGGAGTAGAGTGAAGTGAGGGGCACGGGAGCAGATCTTGTATCAGCATAGGGAAGGCTTAATGAGAGGTGGCGTCTCACCACCATCTGGAAAGATGAACGGGGGCTCCCTGCGAAATGGGGGCAGGTGGCATATGAGGCACTGCCAGTAGTTTGAGGTCGCCAAAGCCCAGTGCCCTGGTGGGCTGGGAAAAGAAGGCAGGACCAGACCAGGAAGGTCCATGAGTGCCTCTGACCCAGCTTTTATCAAGGATATCAACAGCCCCCATTTTCCCAAATCCATTGGCCACTTCTCAGACCACATCATGCTCAACCCAGCAGCAGCTTTTGACCAAATAAACCACCCTTGCTCGTAACACTTCGTTTCTTGACTCTATGCTCTCAGGGTTCTTCCCCATCTTGCTTGCTAGCTCCTCCTCCTGCCCATCCTGTGAACATCACAGTGCCCAGGCTCGCTCCTCTCTGAAGTGTTTCTAACACATGTGATAAGATGCTGACGTATAACATGTGTCGAGTGTCCTCATGTTCTTCCCTGAGGTGCTAAACCACCTGAACATATATGCTAGAGACAAAAACCTTTCTGCCAGAATCAGCTCATTGGCTGCCTCAGTATTATAAGAAATGGAAATAGAAGAGGTTGAGCGACTGGAAAGAGTTGTTAGTGTGCTGATATTTTCCCTCTGATGGCAAGTAAAATGAGGTGGGCTTCATATGAATGCCTTGGAGAGCTTCTGGACTTCTCCAAGTTCTTGAACTCCCCGGAGAGCTTCTTGGCTTACCATGTGTGCCCTGGAGTCTGGAGGCCACAGAGTGTGATGCTAATGTCCACCAGAAGAAGTCTAAAGGCCCGAGATTGAGACAGGAGTGGCTCGTCTGGGAGCGGAGCACGGAGAGCTGGTCGGGAGAGGGCTATCCTTCTACCTGGGCAGGAAACAGTTGCCTGGCCCTGTGTGGACAGTGGAGAGAGCTGCTTGGAGTCACCTTAAGGGTAACCATCCAGTGAGCTGGCTGGGAGGATCCATGTGGCCCCAGCCAGAAGCGGGTACATCACTGAGGCCAGGGGCTGAGGGAGCAGATGCCCGGCTGGGGGAGGCACGCTGCCCTGCGTCTGGAGTGGCAGTCGGAGGTCTCCGTGGCAGAATCTTTGTAGACTCCACAGAAGCACCCCAAGAAGGAAGAGCTGGCTTTTGTGCACCTGCTCTCTCAGGGGCAGCAACAGCAGACATTAGCCAGCCTCAGACGACTACAGTCTTGCCCCTAATTTGCTGCCCCGGATCCAACCTTGGAAGGGTCAGAAGTTAAGAATAGGAGGGGAGAGGAGCTAGAAAACAGTGAGAAAGACAACCTCCACCAGCACCTACTTCCCACAGCCCTCAGGGCTGGGCAGGGGAAAGCTTTACCTCGCATACAAGTTTGGGAGTTTGGGTTCTCAAACCAGGCTGGGCTGGAATTATTTGCTTAAGAGACTGAACAGGACTCTTCATGCCAAAACAAAGAGGCTCTCTGTCCACTGTCTGAGAATGAGTGGAAAAGCTATACAACTTGCCTGAAGTTTCATCCAGGGCTGGAAAAAATAGCTTACAGGTGAGGTTGAAAGGGACAGTAAGATAAAGAAGTGGGTTTATCAATAAGCCAGTTGCACACGCACCAACACAGCGGAACTAAAAGCTTGTCCCTGAGCAGCCAGACAGAGGTGGACAGAGACTCCAGAGACCTGCAGAGGGAGCACGGAGACCAGCAGAGGGAGCACACAGACCTGCAGAGGGAGCACGGAGACCTGCAGAGGGAGCACAGAAACCCTGGGTCCAGGGAGGTGGTGTGGCCTGCGGGGCAGTCTTGGCCTGAGGACAGGTAGACCCTGAGGGGGACAGGCCACCAGAGTCTGCAGCCAGCAGGCTGAGGGTGGTTGGAAAGATTTCTCTGAATAACTGGGGGCAAATTGGTAGTTTCTGTCCCTATTGGCGTGGTTGTCAGGAGCAGGGTGTGGAGGCTGCCCAAAGGCAGGTGAGGGTTCCTGGGGTGGGTCTGTCAGTGAAGATAGGAGGGTAGCGTTGCTCTCCTCGGGAGCCTGAAGCCGTGGGCAGTGAGATTAATCCCCTAGTTTCCTCTGAAAGAAGACTCTTCACTGTCAAACTGCCAAATTAAGAGTTTACTGACTTGGAGTCGGGGGTTTCCCCTGAGGACTGCAGGGACCTTGTCGTGATGCTGTGTAGGGGCACCAGAGAGGTCTTGTATAGGGGTCTGAGAAGAGCTGAATGATAGCAACAGGGTTAACCAAGTCCCAAGAGGAAGGACATTTAGATACCTCTTGTGCATGTCAGCTAGAATCCACCTTTCTGAGGTTCAGATCATGTGAGCTCCACGCCAAGGGGCATTTGAAGGGCCACCAGGTGGAAGACTGCATTAAAGCAAGACACGTGTTTTCCTGGTACCTGTGTGCCGCCTGTGGAAGAGAGGGGTCTGCAGGCACCACGTCATCACACCCTAGACCTGAAGATGCATTAGTTCTTTCTTGGTGGAGTCCTCTGTGGGAATGACAGCCTGAGCTCCAGGCCCATCTGTCCCGTGCATCTCATGCCTGCGTCTTGTTTGGGAAGGTCGGCGCACCTAGGGGATTTCAGAGCCAAACTTTAGACCATCGAGCCTCCGGCCTGGCTGCTGTGTCCGAAGGCATCCCTGGTGCCTCTGCAGAGACTTAGCGGGCCACGCCACAGTGCCTTTTCAAAGGGCCACTGGGGAGGCTTCCTTTCCATGGAAAACCAGGCGGTGAAGACGACAGTCCAGGAACGGAAGCGGTGTTAGGTAGGGGAGATCAGCCCGACCTCCTGTCCAATGCCGGGATTGTCTCTGTACCACCTTTCCCACACCCCATCCTCAAGCATCCCCCCAACCCCCAAACATCCCTCCTACCTCCAAACAACCCCCCACCCCAACTCATTGCCTCAACACCTCCAGGCAGCTCATGCCATCTCCAGACTGTGAAGATCACGCCTCATTTTGAGCTGAGCTGGACTTCTTGGTCCTGGCTCTGTTCTCTGTGGCTGCATGGAACAAGCTGGCTCCCTCAGTCATGTTCCACTCAAGTCTTCTCTCCGGGGTGACTACGTCCAGCACCTCCGGCCCCATTGGGCAGTCCCTTCACCATTTCCTCCTGTGCCCTCTGAAATTGCATGATGTGATTTCTCCATTCCCGGGGTTGGGGTTCTTCTGGTTGAAAGCATTCAGAAGGCTCAGCCTAACCAGCGGAGGACTTTCCACCCCTGACAAGTGCTGACCGTCCTGGGCTTTCCACCCTTGCCCGCGCCTGGGATGTTTGCTTCAGTAGCAGCTGTGTGTGCCATGGGCAAGCCCTTGGCTGGCGAGTGGGCATTTCTCTACCCCTTTACTCTTGGCTGCTAGTCCTGTCCTCTTACAAGAGGTGTCACTATGCCATGCACCATTCAGGAAAATTGCTGCCAATTAAGTCATTTATGACCAACTATGTTTAATTTTCACATCGAGTGTAGCTCATCCCTATTGTGAAAGAAACCATGTTTCATAGAATAGGATGAAATGTGACAATGCAGCCTGCCTGGTGACACGAGGGTGCACGTGACAAAGCACATCAGCACTTAGCACAGTGCTCAGGACAGTGGACACTCGGGAAATGCTGTCTACTTAGAGGAAAGCCCCCCAGCAGCTCGGCAGTGCCCACAAGCAGACCCCTGCCCTCCTCTCCAGCCCTGCATCCACCACCTCCTTATGCGTCTGCACTGCCTGCAACCAATGGCTTCTGGTGGCGTCCTCTTATCTCTTCCCACAGTGCCCCGTCCCCATCGGCCCCCTCTTGTGAATGTCCTCAGCTGTCACTGCCTTTGGAAGGTCTCCCCTGCCCGTCCCTCCTGTGCCCCTCCCACCTCCCGCCAGGTTCCATACAGCACACAGTCACTGTGTCGCTTACGTGCTCACCTGTCTCCTTCCCTAGAACACGACTCTGGGAACAGGGGCTGAATGATTGATCTTGACCTCCAGTTCCTAGCACAGTGCCGGAACACGATAGGGGCCCAAGAAATGTTTGCCGAGCGAGTGACGCCTTTCTCCTGTTTAGCAGTACCTGAATTTGTGTGGTGCTTTAGACTCTTTAACAGGCTTCTTACAAATCCATTTCCTTACTCCATTAATCTGAGCAGGTCAGGACAGGTGGTGATGTTCCTGTTTTACAGCCAGAAAAAATGGACCCCTGTTCAGGGACACCCCTGAGTGCACAAAGCCTACTCAGTGACTGAGCTGGGATTAGAGGCTGGCTCTGGCCTCTTACCAATTTGGAGTTGATGGGCCCTTGGCTTAGAACAGAGGTGGCAAACTGGCAGCCTGCTGGTCCTATGTGGCCTGTGGACGTGCTTTGGCCTTCACAGTGTTTTTTTGTTTTTTTTTTTAAATGTGTGTAAGTTGCCAACACTTAAAAGAATGAAGAGATTTCCCAATTACTAGCTTAAAAATGTAAGCATCTGGCAACCCTGGGTTTCCATCCCCACGTGGTAATTCCTGACATGTCCTGTACTCCCCAGGGCCCCCGCCTGCCCCACATAAGTTTGCAACCCCTGCTTGGAGAAGGAATCCTGTCTTGAGGCCTTGGGGGCCGGCTCTTCATCCTATTCATGGTTGTGTCTGTGGCACATAGCTTGATGCTTGATAGGTCATCAGTGCTCAGGATTAAAAAGAACCGCATGCTGGTGGGCCAGGCCCATGGGCAGTTGCCAGTATGCCTGAGGCTTTGGCTGGGACTTGAGGCCAGCTCCTGCCTTGACAGGAGTCCTCAGGGTCTGCCTCAGGGTGGGAAGGAAGGAGGTAGAAGCAGCTCTTCTCTCCTCCCCAGGACAAAGGCCATGATGGGGTCAAGGAGCTGGACAGCCTAAACAGTGACCGATTGAGAACCGTCCAGCTCAATGTCTGCAGCAGCGAAGAGGTGGAGAAAGTGGTGGAGATTGTCCGCTCGAGCCTGAAGGACCCTGAGAAAGGTAGGGCGCCCCTTCGGACGGCAGGGGTTGTGTATGGGGCCATTCCAAGGGGCACTTGCCGAACACCACCTTCCACTGGCTGGCATCCTGCCACCACACTCCCTTCCTTATTGTTTAGGCTCTTCCTCCTGCACAGTAGGAGGAAGAGGATTACACTAAACATACACGTGCAATAGGGCAATGGAAAAATACAGTCAGGAGGTGATTTCAGAGTTCACGGAGTGCTAGGTGGCTACGCACTGATTCAGGTCAGTTCAGCCAATGCCCATTGATGCCCCCTCTGGCCCAGGAGCTGGGTTGGGTGCCAGGGACACAAAGATGGTCAAGGCACATTCTGTCCCCAGGACCTCATAGTTCAGCCGGAGGACTGAGTTCAAAATCAGGGAGCCGTGCATTGAGAGAGGCAGAGCAGCACAGGAAGGAGGGGTCAGTCCAGCCATGGGGGCGCAGTGGAAATAGGCCAGTTAAGGCAGATTGTGGCAGAGAGCAGATATGGTTGTTCCAAGAGGAGGGGAGAGCAGGAACCACAGCTTCGAGGAGCACGGGGAGGGTAGCGGGGGCTGTTGGTCAAGTGGTGGGATTAGCCGGCACCTCAATATGAGTCATGGGTCAGGTCACGCAGAGGGGGTGGCAGCAAAGGAGGTTGGGGAGGGAGGTCTTGGATCCCAGGCGAGGGAACATGGCTGGTCTCCCAATGGCACTGGGGAGCCACTGAAGGGGTCATCCTGAGGGAATGGCCTGGTCATTGTGAGACTTGTGAATCTCCCTCTGAGGATGGCAGTGGCAATGTGAAGGTGGATTCAAAGCGGGAGTTAAACATGGGTTCTGGACTCCGGAACTAGGGTGGTAGGTGTTGGGAAACAGGAAGGGTCAGGTGCGAGGAGTGTTGAGAAGGCGAAGCTGCCTGGACTTGGTGACTTGGATGTGGGGATGAGGTGAGGCGCGAAGTCTCTGTCCTGGACACCTGGTGCCCCGCACTGCAGGAGCAGGTGGGGAGATAGGGAGACACTGAAGCGCCCACCCTGAGGGAATGTCCAGGCTAGAAGAGCAGGTGCCCACGGCAGGTGACACTGGGAGTCGGGGAGATGCACAGAGGGACCCCTGGGAATGTGAGTGTTCGGGGATCAGAGGAGGGGGAGAGGCAGCTGTCAGAGAGGTTGGATACAGTTCCCCAGAGGCTAAACAACAGAAAGTTTGGAGGAGAGGGCAGTACCAGTAGCCAACAGGGTCAAAAGCTACAGAAAGTTCCAGTAGCATAAGGACTAAAATATCCTTCCAGTTCAGCCAGTGGAGGGCCTTGTGGGAGGAGCTCTGTCTGCAACCTCGGGGTGCCATTCATGTAGAATACAGCAGTGGGGGATGGAGCTCCCTGGAGCCGGGCCGCCCAGCAGCATCTGGAGAAGCGAATCTATGAAGTTTACCTTTGAGCTCCCTGACAGCCCAGGCAGAAAGGGTGTGCGTCATTCAGGCCTCTGCTTTCCCTCAGAATGGGGTGGGGCAGCTCTCAGGAGCAGCTACTTCAGTGGCTGGGGAAGGAGGCGGAAAAGGCAGGAGTGACCAGATCCCATGCGGGGAGCTCTGCTGAGCCTGTATCAGCCAGATGGATGTGCTGTCTGTCACAGCAGCTGCCTCAGAGGCTGCGTGTGTGGCTGTCGGTGATGCCGCTCCTCTGCCTGTCTCTGATGTGCCACCTCATCAGCCCACTGTCGCTCCCATCCTCCCAACAGGCCATTCACAGGCCTCTCTGTTCTCTGTTCTCGCTGAACATCTGTTTAATAATTAACAGGCAGAGCCAGCCCATTAAGAAAAGGCAGGATGGGTCCCGCTGGGGTGATTACCGGCTCAGAACCTGCAGCCTGCTTCGCCCTTCCCTGGCGGTAAATTCTCCTCCCTCCCACCTTCCCTGGGCAGCTGCTATATTTTCCTTCATAAACTACTGGGCAGGAAAACAGCTGCATCGGCACCATAAAGCCACTTGATTATAGCGTGGGTTTTGTGGTGATCTAAAATGCCCGTGGAAAGGCGTCATCACCGGAGACCCAAGCAGAGAACGCACCAGGCCGGCTTGCTCAGGCTGGCGGTCCTCGTCCCCTGCCCCCCTGACTCTGGGGCAGAATCACTTCCATTGTCTGTACTGGACTGGCCAGGCAGCCTAACCTACAAGGCAGGGTGGGCCCCGGCCCACACAGAGGGGAGGCACTCACCCCCTGCCCGGGGATCTGGGCTCCAACCCCAGCACCAGCCTGACGCGCAGACCTTTCCCTGCTGCTTTTCCCACGCCGGGCATTCCGGAGGGCTGGATGAACCTCTCACCATCAACTTCCTTAACCGATACTGCATTTTTTTTTTTTGGAAAAGGATTTGAAGACTTTTAGGTCTGAAGAAAACAGTACATCCGTCAGATATGCAGTGGCGTGTCCCCCATCTCCTGCTCTCGCTTTCTTCCCGTCTCCCTCTCCTCCCTCTCCCTGCTTCCCCTCCACACTCTGCCACTCTGCCATGTCTTGGCCTTGCCTTGGCAATTCCCCCTCAGGCAATGCCGGCTGTGAACTCCAGGGAGCACCCTCCCAGAGCGTTCCGACCCGCAGTGGCCGCCACCGACCCACACCCCATGCAGGACATGTCAGAAGGGTCCTCTTCCCCTTCTCCACCGGGGGGGCACATTTGGTTGGCGAGTTTGACGCCCTGCAGCCTGGCTCTGTGGAACAGTTGCTGCCAAAGCCCGGGGAGCCAGCCACGGGGGCGAGATGAAGGAGATTGTCTGGTGAGAGCCACAGAGCCATCTGCCACCGGCCCCGACCCCCGCAGGACGCTGAGGGACAGGACATCTGGAGCCTGGGACCAGCCCTCCCTGTCCCCACCCCAGGGGACACCGAGCCAGTGGGCCCGAGAGCAGGCCGTGGGCATGGCCTGATCTTGGCACATCACTTACCAGTCAGTCAGTCAACATTAATTAATTAATTAATTAATTTTTTTGAGACAGAGTCTTACTCTGCCGCCCAGGCTGGAGTGCAATGGTGCGATCTCGGCTCACTGAAACCTCCACATCCCGGGTTCAAGTGATTCTCCTGTCTCAGCCTCCCGAGGAGCTGGGATTACAGGCGCCTGCCACCATGCCCAGCTAATTTTTTTTTTTTTTTTAGTAAAGAAGGGGTTTCACAAGGTTGGCCAGGCTGGTCTCAAACTCCTGACCTCAGGTGATCCACCTGCCTTGGACTCCCAAAGTGCTGGGATTATAGGCCTGAGCCACCACGCCTGACCTGGGCTTCACTTATTAGAAATGTGATCTTGGGCTTGCACCTGCCCCCTGTGTGGGTCTCAGCTTGCCCATCTGTGAAGTGGGAGAGTGCTCTGAGCCGTCCAGCACTCATGCCTGGATCAGACCACTACAAGAGCATGGGAAGAATTTCAACACAAGCTGCTCGCAGGCTGACAGGCAGCAGAACATATGTGGAGGAGTAAGGGAGAAGCTTGGAAAAGGCCTGGCCTACCATGCTGTGGGATGGAGACCACAGAGCAGGAAGTGACTGATGGGGGGATCCACCTGAGGAGGGGATGGAGACCATAGAGCAGGAAGTGACTGATGGGGGGTGCCTGAGCGGGGGATGGAGACCATAGAGCAGGAAGTGACTGATTGGGGGGTCGGCCTGAGGGGGGATGGAGACCATAGAGCAGGAAGTGACTGAGGGGGGGATGGAGACCATAGAGCAGGAAGTGACTGATGGGGCGGGGAGGTCAGCCTGAGGGGGGATGGAGACCATAGAGCAGGAAGTGACTGATGAGGGGGGTCGGCCTGAGGAGGGGATGGAGACCATAGAGCAGGAAGTGACTGATGGGGGGGGTCGGCCTGAGGAGGGGATGGAGTCCATAGAGCAGGAAGTGACTGATGGGGGGGGGTCGGCCTGAGGGGGGATGGAGTCCATAGAGCAGGAAGTGACTGATGGGGGGGGTCAGCCTGAGGGGGGATGGAGACCATAGAGCAGGAAGTGACTGATGGGGGGGGTCGGCCTGAGGGGGGATGGAGACCATAGAGCAGGAAGTGACTGATTGGGGGGGTCAGCCTGAGGGGGAGATGGAGACCATAGAGCAGGAAGTGACTGATCGGGGGGGTCGGCCTGAGGGGGGGATGGAGACCATAGAGCAGGAAGTGACTGATCGGGGGGGTCAGCCTGAGGGGGAGATGGAGACCATAGAGCAGGAAGTGACTGATCGGGGAGGTCGGCCTGAGGGGGGGATGGAGTCCATAGAGCAGGAAGTGACTGATGGGGGGGGTCGGCCTGAGGGGGGATGGAGACCATAGAGCAGGAAGTGACTGATGGGGGGGGGTCGGCCTGAGGGGAGATGGAGACCATAGAGCAGGAAGTGACTGATTGGGGGGGGTCAGCCTGAGGGGGAGATGGAGACCATAGAGCAGGAAGTGACTGATTGGGGGGGTCAGCCTGAGGGGGAGATGGAGACCATAGAGCAGGAAGTGACTGATGGGGGGCGGTCGGCCTGAGGGGGGATGGAGACCATAGAGCAGGAAGTGACTGATTGGGGGGGGTCAGCCTGATGAGGAGATGGAGACCATAGAGCAGGAAGTGACTGATGGGGGGGGTCAGCCTGAGGGGGAGATGGAGACCATAGAGCAGGAAGTGACTGATTGGGGGGGTCAGCCTGAGGGGGAGATGGAGACCATAGAGCAGGAAGTGACTGATTGGGGGGGGTCAGCCTGAGGGGGAGATGGAGACCATAGAGCAGGAAGTGACTGATGGGGGGGGTCAGCCTGAGGGGGAGATGGAGACCATAGAGCAGGAAGTGACTGATTGGGGGGGTCAGCCTGAGGGGGAGATGGAGACCATAGAGCAGGAAGTGACTGATGGGGGGGTCGGCCTGAAGGGGGATGGAGACCATAGAGCAGGAAATGACTGATGAGGGGGTTGGCCTGAGGGGGGATGGAGACCATAGAGCAGGAAGTGACTGATGGGGGGGTCGGCCTGAAGGGGGATGGAGACCATAGAGCAGGAAGTGACTGATTGGGGGGGTCGGCCTGAGGGGGGATGGAGACCATAGAGCAGGAAGTGACTGATGGGGGGGTCGGCCTGAAGGGGGATGGAGACCATAGAGCAGGAAGTGACTGATGGGGGGGTCGGCCTGAAGGGGGATTGAGACCATAGAGCAGGAAATGACTGATGAGGGGGTCGGCCTGAGGGGGGATGGAGACCATAGAGCAGGAAATGACTGATGGGGTGGGGGGGTCAGCCTGAGGAGGGGATGGAGACATACAGCAGGAAGTGACTGATGGGGTCGGCCTGAGGGGGGGATGGAGACCATAGAGCAGGAAATGACTGATGCGGGGGTCGGCCTGAGGGGGGGATGGAGACCATAGAGCAGGAAATGACTGATGCGGGGGTCGGCCTGAGGGGGGATGGAGACCATAGAGCAGGAAGTGACTGATGGGTCTGCCTGAGGGGTGGGGTGAAGACGGAGGTGGAGGAGTGAGTGAGACAAACAGACCCAGGAGGCTTCTCCAGCAGCCCAGGAGACAGGCAGCGAGGACCCAAGGGAATGCTAGTGGAAACAGGAAGGAAGAACTGACCCAGCAGAGGAAACCAGCAACAGCCTGGGGCGTGGGGACTTTGTCCTCAGAGAGATCTGGGTCCAAATCCCACCCTCCCTGCCTGTTAGCTGGGTGACATTGACCAAGGTGCTTAACCTCTCTGAGCTTCAGTTGCCTCAACCGGATATGAGACAATTTAGGATCTATTTTCCAGGGTGGTTGTGAGGATCAGGGAAGTTAATGAATGTAAAGGGCTTGATTAGGGGTCTGCCAGCTGTCATGTTGATCTTGAGCTGTAATATTAGCAGTACTGGGTGACTCAGTAGGTGGGGGAGGGGTGGAGGAGCTGGAGGAGTCACAGACAAAAGTAAAATCATTAACAAAGAGGAGGAGCAGGCTTGGGCAGCTTGGAAACTTGACGTGTTGGTTGTGGTTAGGGTGAGTCAGGGACCCGTGGGACATTCAGGTGGAAGCGAGACAGGAGATGGGATGAGGAGAGAGAGCCGTGACTCCCAAGGAGAACTGAGGGGCCACTGGTGCGGAGGCGATCTTGGGGATGTTACAGGAAAGTTGCTGTCACCCAACCAGCGGGCATGCCTCCGTGAGTTTATTCAGAACATTGGCTGAGGATTCCAGATGGCAACTAGGTCCACCACTCTCAACACTCATTAAAGCTGTAATCCAGGGGCTGTGCACTTTCACAGGTCATGTTTCATTAAACTTTTTTGGATAGTAGCGTCAAATGTCATTGTTTTATTTTTAGGTAGAGAAAGGGCTGTATGCATTTTAAGTCATGGGATATTGTCCGTTATGAATCAAACACAAAACGGCTGCAAAATTCACAAACATGAAGAAGATGAGGACACCTAAGAGTTAAGTGTACTTTGAGAGGAGCAGGATTAGGCCAGGACATTGGGGGCCACTTGTATCTGGGGGCAGGTGAAAGAAAGGTGTCAGGGAAGATGCAGGAGATGCCTGGGTATCACTAATGCTGAGGGAGAGGTGAGCCTCAAGGAGTACTGGCAGTACTCATATCGTAGCGAGCCTGAGGAGAGTGAAGACTGGGGGTGAGGTCCTTGGTGTACCACCCTGGAGACCCTGGAGACTGCGTGGTCAGGACAGCTGAGGGCTGGGACCCAGTGTGGTATGGAAGGGAGATGGAGAGGATAGAGCGCGCGCGCGCGCGTGTGTGTGTGTGTGTGTGTGTGCGTGCTCTGTCACCCAGGCTGGAGTGCCGTGGCATGATCCGGCTCATTGCAACCTCTGCCTCCTGGGTTCAAGAGATTTTCCTGCCTCAGCCTCCCGAGTAGCTGGGACTACAGGTGCCCGCCACCACACCCGGCTAATCTTTGTATTACAGGATAGAGTTCTTGGAAGCCTGGCGTGGAGGGAGGGAGAGCAGGTAGCACAGTTACAGAAGGATCTTCGGGATATGGAAATGCGGTATTTGTGGACACTCATTCATCTAACACACATTTGTTGAGCTCCTAATGTGTATAGAACTGAAGGGATGGAGTCATGGGCAGTGGAAAAGCTGAAATTGTGTAAAAGAGAGAGAAGGATCAGTGGCTATGGTCTCGAAGATGACGTGGAAGTGTCAGCCATGACGGGTGGGGAGTGGCCTGCTGCTCCTCCTGGGAAGAGAAGAAGGTGAAGACTCAGGGCGCGTCTGCAGGGAGACAGTGGGAGCTGTGGGGTCGTGGATGACGCTGATCCTGTCATTAGCATCTGAGCGAGGTCACAGGTGAGACCTAGAGCAGGGAGACACCCGCAAGGCTTTGGTGGAGAGTGGGAGTGAGCTCTTCATGGACACTCTGTTAACCAGCAATTTCCTTTCCCTAATAAATGCCCTTAATTCTCCATAATTGAAGGAGAAGGCACCAGAGGGCAGTGAATGAAGCTTTAATTTGGGTAACACGGAAGGAAAGCAGCTAGAGACCAATTACTCTGTCATTTACACAAACTCATTTCCATGATTAACTTGGAAAATAAAGCAGCGCCGAGTTCCCACAGGCAGGGGAGGGCCCCAGGATGGGAGCTCTGCTCTGAGGCTGTGCCTTGGGAAGGAGCACGGGGCTATCGGCCCGGGAGACCAAACACTGAGGGTTTCCACAACAAAGAGGCAGGGCCCAGCTCTGTCCTGAGGCTCTGACCCATCCAGCCTTTGCACCCCAACAAACTGAACTCAGAGAGGTCCCTGCAAAACACAGCTGCCTCCTCGTGCCCACCTCCCCTGTGATTTCCCTGGCTTCTGGCAAGAGAAGAGAAGACGTGAGCAAAAGCTCAAGGGCAGAGATGAGTAAACAGGAACGGGGCGTGAAACTCAAACTCAGGGTGTGGGGATGGGATGGGGTGGAGTGGAGTGGAAGTGGGAATTTGAGGTGAGGTGAGACTGAAGGCCGGGGGACACGGCAGGCTGGGTCATGATGGGCCCAGAGACTCGAGCCAGGCAGATGTGACGTGAGGACTGGACATTCTAGACGCAAGGGAGGGCTGCAGTCAGCACTTTAGGCCTCTTTACCTCCTGTCGTTCCTGAGTGACTCTAGAAAGTTTCTTGAGAGCACTGGGCGAGAGGCTGGGAAGTCACAGGAAAGAAGCAGAGAGGAGGCTGGCCTGCAGGCTGATGGGCAATGTCTGGGCCAAGCCCATGTGGTAAATGCACATCTATCCCTCTCCTGTCCAGGCATGTGGGGCCTCGTTAACAATGCCGGCATCTCAACGTTCGGGGAGGTGGAGTTCAC
The DNA here is from genome assembly GCF_000001405.40 of Homo sapiens. Classification (NCBI taxonomy): domain Eukaryota; kingdom Metazoa; phylum Chordata; class Mammalia; order Primates; family Hominidae; genus Homo; species Homo sapiens. The sequence goes on from NT_187534.1 coordinate 44,525, forward strand.
CAGCCTGGAGACCTACAAGCAGGTGGCAGAAGTGAACCTTTGGGGCACAGTGCGGATGACGAAATCCTTTCTCCCCCTCATCCGAAGGGCCAAAGGTGAGTGGGAAAGGGAGCTCCCTCCTGCCCCTGAACCTGCCCCACGTGTTCATCTTTGCTCAGAATGGAAATACCTGTCCCAGCAGCTCCAATGTCCACAACTCAGCAGAGGTGAGCTCGTGAATCCCAGGGACTATGCTGGGCCTGGGGTGATGGTGGGCAGAGGGGCTGTGGCCGGGTAGGGGAGGAGGAAGCAGAGCAGGTAAGAGGTCAGTGGTCCATGCAGCAAAAGCTTAAAGAGTTGAGCAGCCATCCACTCTGCACACCTAATCTATAGAGAGAATCACCCTTTGCACAAAGCTGTGTGTACACATCTTTGTATCAGTCAGGTGTGGTTAGTAAAATCTGGCATATTCATTCTATGGGTTATTTATATCGTAGTTTAAAAAATGAGATCATTGTGGTATTAGGGAACAATAGTAAAAATCAAGATTAGAAATTTGGAAAACCAACAAAACACCCAAACCATGTGGGTGGCCAAATGTGAGCAAACCACTTTAGAAGTCATTGACTTGGATTTTTTTCTCTGGCATAGCAAACAATTGTGGCAAAAAGGGTAAGATCCATACATCTATGGTGAAGTCCTAGCAACAACAAGCATGAACACAGACTGCAGCTGTAGGATTTTAGATGGAAACCCCAACCCTTCAGTGACTTCAAATTTAGAGCTTTCTGAAAGGTGCCTCCCCCAGGATGGGCTGAGTTCCCTCCCGGGGACACACCTGGATGGGCTGAGTGCCCTCCCGGGGACACACCTGGATGGGCTGAGTGCCCTCCCGGGGGCACACCTGGATGGGCTGAGTGCCCTCCCGGGGGCACACCTGGATGGGCTGAGGGCCCTCCCGGGGGCACACCTGGATGGGCTGAGTGCCCTCCCGGGGGCACACCTGGATGGGCTGAGTGCCCTCCCGGGGACACACCTGGATGGGCTGAGTGCCCTCCCCGGGACACACCTGGATGGGCTGAGTTCCCTCCCAGGAAAACTGGTCCCAGATCCGCCTCGGCTTCCCGGGCTGGGCCAAATGCAATCCACTTCCAACCCCTCTGTTCCCAGGGCCAGGAGGAGCTGTGGGAGGCCCCTGATGCCCCCAGGCTGGGCCTGTGGCCTTTGGAGGGGGATCACCACACTCTCCCAGTGCCCAGGACTCTCTCCTCATATCCTAGCCCTGAAGTCAGGTTCAGAAATCCTGCCCCTGCCCCTGCCTGCTGCTCTGTTTGCCAGGCGGTCCTGGTCTCCACCCAGGCTCCACCCTACCAGGGTGGAATGGAGTTGGGGAGTTGGGCCTAACAGCACGGGTCCTGTCCTCTTTCAGGGCTGTCCCGGGGCTCCCTCCCAGCTGCAGCCCCAGGTACTTCCTCGTCTGCACTCCAACCCCCATCGCCAGGGCTGCTGTCAGTGGCTAGACACTTGGCCCTAGTGTGCTACTTATCTGCACGTCGTACTACTGGAGCTGGACTTTAAGCTCCATAAGGGGAAGGGGAAGCTTTCAGGCTGTATTTCTCCCTCACCAGCACCAGACCTTGCCTATAGTGAAAGCTCAGATCCACACAGACAGCTGTCTCGCCTCCCACTTCTCCCCTCGTGTTTTCACCCCAAATTATCACCGCATCGGGCTTGATCTGGTTTTTGAGTCAGTTGCGTGTTGCCCATTACACTGTGCCCTGCTGCTTCTCACTCACTTGTCCTCCCCTGTCCTGCCTGGCACAGCCAGGTTCCCAGGGAAGACCAGGGGTGCCGATGCTGATGCGTGGGCCTGAGCTGGCCTTGCCTATTGACTGAGAAGGCTCCTGGGTGGCTCAGAAGTGGTTCCAGCCAAGCCTCTAGAGACATGCCAGACTTCTGCCCGCTGTGTCATAGGGCAGTAACGGCTTAGCAGGTACCTCTGTCTCCCTCTGTAGGCCGCGTCGTCAATATCAGCAGCATGCTGGGCCGCATGGCCAACCCGGCCCGCTCCCCGTACTGCATCACCAAGTTCGGGGTAGAGGCTTTCTCGGACTGCCTGCGCTATGAGATGTACCCCCTGGGCGTGAAGGTCAGCGTGGTGGAGCCCGGCAACTTCATCGCTGCCACCAGCCTTTACAGCCCTGAGAGCATTCAGGCCATCGCCAAGAAGATGTGGGAGGAGCTGCCTGAGGTCGTGCGCAAGGACTACGGCAAGAAGTACTTTGATGAAAAGATCGCCAAGATGGAGACCTACTGCAGCAGTGGCTCCACAGACACGTCCCCTGTCATCGATGCTGTCACACACGCCCTGACCGCCACCACCCCCTACACCCGCTACCACCCCATGGACTACTACTGGTGGCTGCGAATGCAGATCATGACCCACTTGCCTGGAGCCATCTCCGACATGATCTACATCCGCTGAAGAGTCTCGCTGTGGCCTCTGTCAGGGATCCCTGGTGGAAGGGGAGGGGAGGGAGGAACCCATATAGTCAACTCTTGATTATCCACGTGTGGATTATCCACCATGCCAGGAAGACCCATAACTGGTTTTAACACTAACTAGAGGGAATGACTTCTTTGCATAGTGAGTGACTTGGGCCTTCACAAACAGGGTGTGGAGTGGCAGGCAGAGGCCTCTAAATCTCAGGGCAAACATGGTGAATCTATCTCTCCGGAGATAATTTCATACAGAGATTTTAAGAAAACATCTTTATATTAAAAACAGATCTCATTTGATCCTTAAGCCAGTCTCATGAATGAAAAGGACAGGTTTTTTTCTTTTGTAAATGAAGCATTTGCAGCTTAAAGAGGATGCATGAAATAACCCTTTTATCGCTTATAAATAGTGCCAGTTATGTGTTCCTGCCACGGCTGTGGAAATACTTCACATTTGCATTCCAGGACTGTTTTGGATCCATTTGCCCGAGAATCTTCTGACTAACTCTGTGTCCTCATCTGGGCAGCACACACCAAGTGCCCACTGGTACCTCTGCATGTCCATGGTGCTGTGTGACTGGCCAGCCAGCAGCCAGTGACTCAGAGCTGGCTGTATGGAGGGGGTGGGAATGTTTCTGGAGATTTTTGTTTTTCCAGACACAGTCTTGCTCAGTCCCCTAGGCTGGAGTGCAATGGCACCATCTCCGCTCACTGCAACCTCCGCCTCCCTGGTTCAAGCGGTTCTCCTGCCTCAGCCTTCCAAGTAGCTGGGGTTATAGGCACCCACCACCATGCCGGGCTAATTTTTGTATTTTTAGTAGAGATGGGGTTTCACCATGTTGGCTAGGCTGGTCCCGAACTCCCGACTTCAAGTGATCCGCCTGCCTTGGCCTCCCAAAGTGCTGGGATTACAGGCATGAGATTTTTACTTGAGATTTTTCCATCCTCTTTTAGGACTCAGGATAGACTTGTGTGGAGGTGCTCTCTGGCTAAGGGGATAAGTTGTTACTGGTTTGGGTCTGCTTGGTTTTGCCTTGGGTGGGGCCGGTGTCGATGGGGCAGGCTTGGCACGAGCAGTGGTGCCATGGCAGGGCACTGTGGCATCTCCCCTAGCAGTGGATTTGGGGTCCCTGCTTGCCTCACGTGGTGCTTACACACATGTACACACACACACACACACACACACACACACACACCTTACACACATGTACACACACACACACACACACACACACACACACACACACACACACACACACACACACACACACACACACACACCCCTGTTCTGCAGGGCTTCAGCGTGGCCTTCATTCCCGCCTCGCCTCGGCCTCTTTTCAATTAAGAAGTGATGCCACTTGAGGCAGGGTCTGCATGATCACTTCTTGGGTTTCAGTTTGAAAGCTGCCATCCCTGCGACTGCCCAGGGCCTGTATGTTGGGACCGAAGCCAAACACCACTGTCCTCCAGGGGGCTTTCGGCCCGGGGCAGGGTCCCCAGTGCCCGCCTTCGAATCAGACTCCGCGTTTCCGCCTCTCCCTGGGCGGACCTGCCGCTAGAGGGCGCTCCTCCTCCGCAGCCGGCGCCGGCCTCCAGCGCCCCAGACTCCCGCGCTGCCGCCCGAGCCTGAGGTTTCTCACGGCGTTCGGGATTCGCGCTTCGGAAACCGGGAACAAAGAAGCAAGCAGCACCCTTCAGAAACAGTGTTCTCGCTCTCCTAGCAGCTGGCCCGGGCCCGGAGGCTGGTGCCAGGAGAAGGCAGAAGAGCCCGGGCAGCCGGAGTGGGCTACGGGGTTCAGGCAGTGCCAAGGAAGAAGGGCCTCACAATGGGCAATTCAGCTGCCTCCCGGGCCGTTGTCCCCGCTGTCTTCAAACAGGGGTCCCCTGTCCCAGCTGCCCCAGGAGGAGGGGGGGAGGCAGGCAGGGCCGAAACCCTCCAGAGCCCAGAGGGGGACGCTTGGTGGCCGCTGCAGTTACATAACCATAGGATGCTTTTGTACCGTGGACCTTGTTCTAGCAGGATCCTTTCGGAATTGCACTTTTACATGTTGGGCGAATTTGTGTCCGTGCTGAAGTTTATTAAAGGAAAATAGATGGAGCCTTGGAGTTGCACGTGTGCGTCCCTGCCTGGGAACTAGAGGAAGGAGGGCCACATACTCTGGGTCCCCATCAGCAGACCCGAACGTCAGAGAAGCTGCATGTGCGTCTACTGGGATCTTCTGAGTAAGCTAGAACTGCTGGGCCGGCCTGTGCAGGTTGTTCTGGCTTTTAATCGTTTCCAGTGATTGAAAAGCCCAGGCTACCATCCCTCCAAATAACTCCAGTGCTAACTCAAACCTCATATTCACCATTCACTTTCCGGCAGCTTAGAACCTACCGGGGCGCAGGACGTAGTTTTCGTCTTTACCAGAGTGCGTGGCCGGGCGCGGTGGCTCACACCTGTCATCCCAGCATTTTGGGAGGCCCAGGCGGTCGGATCGCCTGAGGTCAGGAGTTCAAGACCAGCCTGGCCAACGTGGTGAAACCCTGTCTCTACTAAAAGCACAAAAATTAGCCAGGCGTGGTGGTGGGCGCCTGTAACCCCAGCTACTCGGGAGGGTGAGGCAGGGAGAATCGACTGAACCCAGAGGCAGAGGTTGTAGTGAGCCGAGATCATGCCACTGCACTCCAGCCTGGGCAACAGAGTGAGGCTCTGTCTCAAAAAACAAAACAACAACAACAAAACAAAAAAAGAGTGAGAGGACAAAACAGGTGTATATTCCCATTTTATAGATGACATAACTGAGGCCCAAAGAAGGAAAGTGACTCACTCAGTGTCACAGTAAATCCACGGCAGGACCAGGGCCAGAACAAAAGTCTCCTGAGTGGCACTCTTCACTATCACATAACACTGTGGCTCGCAACAGCCCTGGAAGCAAAGCCAGTTGGGGTCACCAGGCACCTAGACCCTCACTGCTTGTCTGCTGGCAGAGAGCCGCTCCTTCTTGTCAGAGTAAGTAGGAAGGAGGCCTTTGCCTGTGCGGACCTATGGTCTGGTGACTCCAGCCAGCACAAACCCATCCCCTGATGGTTGGAGGCTGGGCAAGGGCTTCTTGCAAGATGCGCCTGACAGTGCCTTGTTACAGAGCACCTGCTGTGCTTAGCATTCCACCCGGGGCCAAGAGGCTGTGTGAGCAGGTGACAGCCAGCCTGGCCCCGCCTGTCACAAGCTGCTAGGTCTGCACCCTTGCCACCCATGGCAGGGGGTCTGACAAAGACTCCCCATTTGTGAGGTCTGTTCACTGCCTGTATTTCGAACAGGGCCTGGCTCTGCAAACCTGTGCAAACTGTGTTGATATAGGAGCCGACATGAGCAAGCAGAGGCTCCCCTGGCTCAGGCAGCCCCAGGTTGGGTTGGCCAGACAGCAACCAGGCACAGGGGCCAAGTGCAGGTCCTGCTACCCAGCCACCACAGCTTCCTCTCACCTGATTCTCACAGCAACCCAGGCAGGATAGGCAGGGTGGGGTTATCTTATTTTGCAGAAACAGGCTTTCCCAAGTCTGTCACCAAGTGAGGGGTAGAGCTGGGTGTCCAGCCAGATCTAACCTCCAGCCCAGAGCTGGTGATGCGGAAAATCAGGGCAGATGGCAGCAGGATCTAAAATAGGGAGGGAAGAAGTCCTCAGTTACGTAACAGCGAGGAGACTCTCAGCCTACGCACAGTAGCAACCATGGGGTCCTGCCACTCGAGCCAGACCCTCCTTCCCTTCCCGTTTTGGGCTCTAAGTGCTGCCCCCTGTGAGAGAATGTGCTGGAGGAGCCCCCAGTATCCTTCCAGCGGGAAGTCGGCTCTGTCAAGGCCATTCCCGAGAGCAGGCTCTAGGAATTCAAAGACCAAGCAGGCAGAGCTGGATTCTGGAGCTGCCCTCAAAGGGCTTGAGGGTTATATGAGCGCCGTGCTTGAGAAGTTAGTGATGATTTCTGCTCAAAGAGACAGAGCAAGAGGGCTGAGGGGCTCTGGTGCTCTGGGGGAGATGAAACAACCCCACAGTATATGAGGCCTCTCTGGTGTGTGCGGGCACTAAGGAAGGGTGACTTGCGAGTGGCGCATTCGGAGGCACGGGGTGGGCAGCTGTTGAGCAAGGGACCAGGGCTGGGACAGGCTGCCAGGACCCCCACAACCCCAGGGGAGGAAAGGGGACTCAGCCATCATCATGCCTGACTCCCAGGCTCCCGGATGAGGAGCCTGCTAGCCAGGGCTTGAAGCCCTCCAGTGACAGGGGGTGCATTACTTCCTAAGAAGCCATTTCCTTGGTTCAGAAACGTTTATCCAAAGACTGAGCCGAAATCTACCACCTCACTTAATGTTTTTGGCACCTGGTTATGACCCAGACCTGCACAGAATAATTTAACTCTTCTGAAATAGACTTCCAGATATTTGGAAGTGGCCAAGTCAGGTTTAAGAGCTCAGGTCTCCCATTTGACAAGATTTCCATCTCCTCGCTGTCTGAACAGGTTTCAGCTGTGGTTATCCAATCCCTCATTCTTGATGACACACACCAGGCTGAATGGTCTTTAGAGTTCCCCTCAAGCCGCCAAGCGCTCTGAGACAGGTTTACTAGCTTTGGTGAGATGCTGACACTCCTCACATGCACGTGCCCCTCCCAACTACTCAAGTGAGTTCGTGGCAAATCTCTCATCTGATCTGCATAAACGGATTATATCTTAGGCGGTGCCATTGTCTGCATTTTACAAATAAGGAAACTGAGCCTCAGGGAGGTGAAGTCATTTGCCCAAAATCACAGAGCCAGGAAACGAGAGAGCCAAGATCCAGACCCCGCAAGATCCAGACCCCACAAGATCCAGACCCCGCAAGATCCAGACCCCTCAAGATATAGACCCTGCAAGATCCAGACCTCACAAGATCCAGACCCCACAAGATCCAGACCTCGGCTATCTGGCTTCTCTTTTTTTTGCGACAGAGTCTCAATCTGTCACCCAGGCTGGAGCGCAGTGGTGTGATCTCAGCTCACTGCAACCTCTGCCTCCCAGGTTCAAGCAATTCTCCTGCCTCAGCCTCCCGAGTAGCTGGGATCACAGGTGTGCGCCATGCCTGGCTAAATTTTTTTTTTTTTTTTTGTATTTTTAGTAGAGATGGGGTTTCGCTATGTTGGCCAAGCTGGTCTCGAACCCCTGACCTCAGGTGATCCACCTGCCTCGACCTCTCAGAGTGCTGGGATTACAGGCGTGAGCCACTGCACCCAGCCCCATCTGACTTCTATACCCGCAGCCCCTTCCTTTACCCTCAGGCTGCCTCAGTCTCCACACTGGGGCCCAGAGCTGGGCTGGACTCAGCGCAGTCAGAACCTCGCCTTGCACGTGGCGAAGGAGCGGCAGGCAGGCAGGCAGGCAGGCAGGCAAGCAGGACAGCCAGCTTCCTCCTAGTCCGCAGTTTCGCGGAGCAGCCTGGAAAGGGAGGCCCAGGCTTCCCTGTCTCGTCGCACGTGTGTCTGCAGTGTCTGTGCTATCTCCCAGGGGCCTGGATGTCGATGGAATGCCTGAGGGTGGAGAGAGCTGTGGCTGAGGCCTACCCTGGCGGCCTCAGCATCTGTGGAGATGTGTAGAGACAGGGAGAGTGAATGGGGACCAACCTCAGGAGATGCTGGGTCCCAGAAGCACCATGTGCTTCTCCTTTGGTGAGACTTAATTACTCTCTAAAATGTAAGGCTACTCCCACTTATCAAATTATAGATGAGTTTAATTACAGCACACTGAGTAACCACACTGGGCTCCTTCAGAAATAGCAGCAGGCTGGTTGCTCTTCTCAGCTTCAGCTGTAGCCACCCCAGTTTCAGGAGGAAGTGCCCGTGGTTCCTGGGGCCTGGAAGTGCCGCTCAACTCTGCTGCCAGACAAGTGCGGGCGTGGTGGACTGCACTGGGTACACTGCTGTACCGGCCACCACCCTCCGGCCACTCTCAGCCGGTGAGTGCTCTGCGGGGCCATCTGGCCACGTGTTCTGTGACTGGGTCATTTACTCTGCTGCAACCTCTCTTTCTCCTACCTACATCGTGTTCTGGATAAAGGTTTTGGCTCATAATGTCCGACCAGAGGTGGACAAAGTGGTGTGGGACCTGCCGTAAGAAACAGGGAGCATGGTGCGGGGAGAGAAGCCTGTGCCTTATGGAGACTCGGGGCACCTTCAGGAAGCAGGGTCAACAGCAGCAGGCCGCTAGGGAGTCGGGAGAGCTCGGTGATGTCACGAGGGGCATCAGACTCTTCCCTGCAGGCTGGCGGGACTGATGGGCTCTCGTTCCAATGGAGGTACAATGGGACTTCCGGGGCTGTGATGGGAAGGGCGGAGGAGCTGCCGATGGTCCCAGTGCCATATTAGTGTCACATTCTGAGGGGCAGCCCTGTGCCGGACGGCAGCTGCTACCTCTCCCTCTGCCCCTTTATTACTTGAATCTCTTCGTTGTGCCCTGTCTAGGCACGGTCGTCCGACAGCAGGCAGCCCACTGCCCTCCCAGAGCTCACTGTCTAGCCCAGGGTGACACAGGGTAACCGTGGGCATGACTTGGGCCGGGAAGTGAGAGGCTCGATTCCATCACATGTAAATAAAAATACTCATTTTCAATCTAACACAGTCTGTCTTCTTCCCCGCACAGCCTTGGAGCCCCTCATGGACAGCTGATGCGAGAGGTGTGAGTGGGCAGGGGTCTCTCCTTACTTAGGGAGTCCCATGACTTTGTCAAAGGAATAATAAAATATAAGGGCCCCTGGAAACCCAGAGGCCAACAACCTGAGGCTGCCAAGCAGGCGGTGCTGGGACTGCTTGGAGAATAACCAGGCAGGGGGCTCTGGATATGTGGGACTGGGCACGTGGTGTGGAGGCTGAGGGCAGAACCGGACAAGAGGCTTAGGCTGCACCCAGATGTGGAAGAGCGCACACCACTGCCAGCACCACGACAAGCTGGAGTTTTCAGCCCTAGGGCTTATTTTCTGTGCGGTTAAGTGTACGACGAAAGAAAACAGCAGAACATTAAAAAGAGATAGATAGGCTCTCGGGTTACTGCAGCAGAGAAAGAAACAGCACATCTGGAGGGTCCGCGCTTCTCCTGCCCTCGCCCCCCGAGGCCCTCCAATTCCCTCCCCTTCCCCGCCTCCTCTGGCCATGCAGCTGGCAAACCCCTCCCCGCTGCTATGTGCTTAGTGACAGTGGGGCCTTGGTCACTGAGGGTTAGTGACAGAGCTGTGTGTCTGGCTTTAGTGCCTGCTGGTCCTCTCCTCGCCTGTGTGGATTTACCTAGGTGGTCCCTGAGAAAGAGAGCCCACAGGTGATGCCCTGTTAGAGGTGAAAGAGACCTCAGAGACCCTGCAGACGGAGGGATGGGGACAGACGCAGGCCTTGCTGGCAACTGTGTTCTGGGTGAGGTCAGTTAGAAAGAACAGAAGTTTTGGAGCCAGATGCACCTAACTTTGATCCTGCTCTGCAACTTCCTGGTTGCATAATGCTGCCAAGTTATCTACTTTCTCTGAGCCTTAGTTTCTTTTTTTGGGCGGGGTGGGGAGGGTCACTAACACTAACACTGGGGCTGCTGCCAGCGAGCATTGCAAACCTCGATGTCTTTTTGTCTGTGATGGGGATAACCGTCTGTACTTTGCAGAGTTGTTGTGTAGATAGGTGAGTGGGTAAGCTCTCCAGCCCAGCGCCTGGCACAACGCGGGGACTCAGTAGGTGCCCCGGCTGCTGCAGTCACCGCCTAAAAAATTCTTTCCCGTCCCCACCCCAGCCTTTCTGAGAAATGCAGACACTGTAGCCCAAGGGTGTTCTAGAGGCACAGACAGAAATGGGGACCCACTCAGGGTTGAACCACAGCAGCCAGAGCCCACTTTCAGGCTCATCCTAGAGGCCTAGGGCAGAGGAGGGCACTGCCTTCTGCAGGCCCCCTTCCTGACTGCTAAGTGCAGAACAGACTCCACAGCCCTGCATCACCACCTGACTGGAAATCCCTGAAGATTTCCTGAGTGGATTAAGAAATTATTCGCCAGAAGGCCTTAAGCCTAAAAGCCTAGACAAGTCCATCCTAGACAAAGAAGGGGTTTTTTGTTTTTCTTTTTTCTGGAATACAAACCCTCAAAATCATCCAGGAGGATCAGCCCATTCATTCATTCAGCTTAGGGGAGGGGAATGGACCAGTTCTTCCTGCCCTGGTTATCTGTGTTTGGGATCTTCATTTATTTATTTTGAGACGGAGTCTTGTTCTTGTTGCCCAGGCTGGAGTGCAGTGGCACGATCTCTGCTCACTGCAAGCTCCACCTCCTGGGTTCAAGCAATTCTCTGCCTCAGCCTCCCAAGTAGCTGGGATTACAGGTGCCTGCCACCATGCCTGGCTAATTTTTTGTATTTTTAGTAGAGACGACGTTTCACCATCTTGATCAGGCTGGTCTTGAACTCCTGACCTCGTGAACCACCCGCCTCGGCCTCCCAAAGTGCTGGGATTACAGGTGTGAGCCACCGCGCCCGGCCTGGACTCTTTCTGTTAGCACTCAGTTTGTCCTACCCAGGCCCTGGCTTCCTGTGTTTTCTCTTTAAGCATTCAGGGTTGAGAGTGATCTATAATCAGGCTGCAGGATATCTATGGTAAGATTTGATTCCCAGCCTGAAGGAGTTCCCAGTCCTGTGGGGCTGAGGGCGTGAGGGGGTGGAGCAGATAGGACGCACCAACCTGGAGAGCTGTCACTCAGGACAGCCTGGGCTATAGTGGATGTATGAGCAAAGTTCATGGCAGCCCAGGAAGGAGCAGGAAATTCTCACTGGGGAGGTAACGGATGCTCCCTAAAGGAGGTTGTGTTTCAGCTGGGACTTGACAAGTGAAGAGGGTTTTGACAGATAGAAACAGGAGGTGGGGCACCTGACGGGACATTTCCCAGCTAGCAGAGCAGGATGAGAATGGCTTAGCACCTCAGGGGGATGGACTCTGAAAGGAAAGTGGATAATTTGGGGAGGCTTGAAGAACTCCAGCCCCTGGGAAGAAAGGGCTGTTAGGAGTGCCCCATCCCCCAGGACATTGTTCAGACAGCTCTGTCCTGTCAGAACCAGATCACTCTAAGCTGGACTGTGAAAGCCGTCCAGCCCCTTGGATCCTAAACGCACCGCACATGAATCTCCTGGGAAACTGGTTCAAAAACAGAACCAGTAAGTCTTGAGTGGAGCCCAGGAAACTTATATCTAAAAAGCGACTCAAGGCACAGCAAGGAAAAGGGGGGTCAGAGAAGACGGGGATGCTGCATCCCGAGTTAGTGACAGACCTGGGGCTAGGCCTGGGAGAGGGAGAGCTGGAGCACCTGTGGCTGTGGTTTTTTCTGTCCCCTGGTGGCTACTAGGAGTGAAACTCCGGGAGCAGAAAGGGCCGGAGGGCTTGTTTCAGAAGTGCCAGTGTGGGGAGATGCAGGCAAGTTTTCCTCCCCTTCTCAGAGACATCAGGACAGAGAGGAGACAGGTGTGCTGGGAGCCTGGCAAAGGCCAGATGGCCTGCTCGAGTGTTCTCATTAACAGGATGAAGAAGGGCGGAGCCCCCAGTGCAGATCCTTCCAGTTAGGCACTTGGATTGTGGCACTGGCTGGTGGCCCGGCCTTCCCACAATTTGTAGTTGTGTGTCCTGCAGTGGGCGACTCCACCAGGCTGTGCCAAGCCTGCCAGCTTGCTGTGCCCTCTGCCCCTCGGAGCTGCAGCTTTGCTCACTGTCCTCTCCTTGGCCAGGAGGGGGCAGTCAGCTGCCTCTCTAGTATCCCTCCTGCCTTTAGTGTTGAGGCTGGGACGCGTCAGGGAGGTGATTAAACAGGGCAGGGCTTTCTCAGACCCATGGCAAGAGGCCTAAGTTTCGGTTCCAGTTCCATGTTCTCAGTTGCAGACTGAGCCACTGGGGGTGGCTGAGGAGAAGCAGCATGCCCCCATCCCGGTTTTCTAGTGCTCAGGTACTTGGCTTCCAGGTGCCTAGCTAGCCTAGACAAGCTGGGACTTGGGGGCAGAGATTGCTGCATGTTCCTGATAATTCATTTTCCCCTTCTATAGGGATAGATCCACCAATGTTCAGCTGAGCACATGGCTGCCATAATAAAGACTACATTTCCCCAGATTCCCTTGCAGCTAGGGGGTAGTCATGTGACTATGTTCTGGCCAATGGGATGTAAGCAGAAATGGTGGTACAACAGTTTCCAGGAACCTTCCTTAAGGGGAGCTTATATGCATCTCCTTTGGCTCCTTCGGCACTTCATCCTGCAGCCTGGAACTTGGGATGCTGCCATCTTGGGCCATAAAGTCAAGATATTTATGACATTGCAACAAGATAGTGTTTGGATCCCAGACACTGGGGAACCACATTCCACCTTTGACCCCTCATTCAGATTTTATGTGAGAAGAAATAAACTTCCACCTTTTCTGCATTATTACAGTTTTGGAATTATTTCCTTGTATGCAAAGCAAATCCTAACTGAACCCCTAGTCCAGTTGGACAGGAGATGAGGAAGCCATCGCATACACATGGGGGCAGGAAGCCACATCTGATCCTAAGTAATAAGCATTTATTAAGTGCTTCCTACACGCCAGGCCTTGGGTTAAGCATGTTATATGCATTATCCCATTTGATTCTCCCAGTGATACTATAAGGCAAGATTTATAATCCCAATTTTATAGATAACTAAAATGAAGCTTAGGTTTAAATATCTTTCCTAGTTAGAAAGTGACAGGATTCAGAACCAGACTGTCTCTAACTGCTGGGTGCAAGCACTTACTGTTCCTCAGGCAATGAAGAGGGCTCCTGCCATGCTGGCCACAGCCTCCCTGACATCACCTGGGCTATGAAGAGGCAGCTCCTCTTTGATTGAAAGGAGAGATTCATGAGGTTGGGACTGAGCCAAAATTGAACACAAAACAGGCTGAGACAATAGGCAACCAAACTCTCATCCTTATTCTCTGAACAAAATTCTTAAACTTGAAATATTTTAGAGGGCTATTTCTCCTCCTTCTCCTTCTTCTTCTTATTTTTGAGATGGAGTCTTGCTCTGTCACCCAGGGTGGAGTGCAGTGGCCCAATCTCAGCTCACTCTAAACTTTGCCTCCTGGGTTCATGCGATTCTCCTGCCTCAGCCTCCTGAGTAGCTGGGATTACAGGCACGTGCCACCACACTTGGCTATTTTTTTTTTTTTTTGTATTTTTAGTAGAGACAGTGTTTCACCATGTTGGCCAGGTTGGTCTCGAACTCCTGACCTCAGGTGATCTGCCTGCCTCGGCCTCCCAAAGTGTTGGGATTATAGGTGTGAGCCACCATGCCTGGCCTAGTTCTTTTTTTTTTTTTGGAGATGGAGTCTCACTCTGTCACCCAGGCTGGAGTGCAGTGGTGTGATCTCGGTTCAAGAGATTCTCCTGCCTTAGCCTCCCGAGTAGCTGAAATTACAGGTGCCTGCCACCACACCAGGATAATTTTTACATTTTTAGTAGAGACGGGGTTTCACCATGTTGACCAGGCTGGTCTTGAACTCCTGACCTCAGGTGACCCACCTGCCTCGGCCTCCCAAAGTGCTGGGATTACAAGTGTGAGCCACCATGCCTGGCTTAGTTCTTCTTAATGAAAGTGTCCTCTCAGAAGCATCCCCAGTGAGACCACCTCCCGTTTAGTGGCTGAGCTAAGAAGACTCAAGACTCCTCTTCTTCCACCTCCTCCCTCTATCCCCACCTTCCTTTCTCTCTCCCTCTTCCTCCTCTCCTCACTCCTCCTGTTCCTGAGGATCATGGAGGTGGTACCAGAGGCTCCTTACGCAGCATGGCCTACCACCAAGTGGGCTTTTGTTAATCTGTTTAGCTTCAAAGATATCCATGAAGCAGCAACCACTAAATGTCCAAGAAATAATGGATTCCATCTGGGCAGCCAGGAAGCCTTGTTACTATTCCCTCTTCTACTACCAACTGGCCACATCGTCCAGGCAGCAAACGCCTTATCCTTTCTGGGCCTCACTCTCCTCATTGGAAAACAATAGTAATAATAATAACAGCAACATCTAACACATCTTTTTTTTTTTCCTCACAGACAAGGTCTGGCTATGTTGCCTAGACTGGCCTTGAACGCCTGGGCTCCAGCGATCCTCCCACCTCAGCTTCCCAAGGTAGCTGGGACTACAGGCGTAGGCCACCACACCCAGCTCACCAGCAAACAATCTGTTGAGTCATCCAGACTCACTATGTTCTAAACACTTCACAAGCGTTTATTCACTCATCCTTCCCAGGACCCTATGAGGGAGGTACTATTACTATTATGGGTGGGGAACCTGAGACACCGAGGTTTCTAAGTGGCCCAAGGTCATGCGTGCACCACGAAGTCAAAATGAGACTTGAAAGAGGACCTGGCAGCTGTGTTTAGTCACGGCCCTGGGTTAAATGACCTCTCAGGCAAAGTCTCAATGCAGTAAAGACAAAGTGGGGGTGCTTGGGTGGAATGGGGGTGGGGGTCTAAACCCTCGCCCTTCCTCCCCCCACCCGCCCTTAGGGGAGGGGCTCTCCAAGCGCTGCTCCACGTGGAACATTCTGAGAATCCCCCAGGGCCTGGGGCCGCTGGGGTGTGGGAGGGCGGGGAGAGAGCGTGCGCCCTGCACAGTGAGGTCGTGGCGCCCGGCACCTGCCACCTGTGACTGGGATGAAGGGCTCGATCAGAACCTGTCTGCCGGTTTCCCCGTGCGACGATTAACCACCACCCCCTCCATAACCCGTGTGTTTTCCAGGTGAGGAAAATCCCCACCGAGGAGAGCTGGGGCACGCGGGCCTTGCGCTCACCGCGGGCGGGTCGTGCGGCCCCCTTGGCGACACCCCGCGCTCCCCGGGCGCCCGCCCCAGGCCCAGATGCTGCGCGCGGCTCCCCCACTCAGCGGCTCCCTGGGAGCCCCGGCCGCCCCGGCGCCTCCTCCCGGCCCTTCCCGGCCCCGCGGCCTTGCAGCTGGCCGACCCCTCCCCCAGCTCCGCGCTTAGGGACGTGGGGCCCTGGTCGCTGAGGGTGAGTGACGCAGCCGTGCGTCCGGCTGTCCGCCCCCATCGGTCGTCTCCTCGCCTGTGCGGATCGCGCCGCCGTTCATGCACCTGTCCCGAGTGAACGTGGTGGAGGGATCTGGAGGTCTGACTCCTCACTCCCACCCCTGAGCTGTGGGCAGAAAGCCACTTGCAGAGCCCCGCCAAAAAGTCACTCTCTCTGGCTCGAGGCTCATTCAGGTGTCCTATGGCCACCGCTGAGAGACACCTGGGGCCCTCTGTGCGGCTGGGTCAGTCTCCCGCTGGCCACTGGCAAAGCCTGGCCACCAGTGCTCTGGGGAGACTGGAAGGGGGCCAGGGCTGAAGCAGCTGGAAGGAATGTCCATTTGTCCTGTTCTGCTTCACCTGCTTCTGCTTTATTTCAGAAAGGGGCTCAGTGCCTCAGGCACACCTTGAGAAACACCTCCATTTTCAAAGGAGACCATGAGTTTCCTGCTTGCCCAGTAAGATTTGTTTATTGCAACTATGTCAATAAATGGCCCCTATTTACCTATCCGCTAGCCCCTTTGTGAGCCTCCATCCTCTGGCTGTGTAAAAGACCCCTCAATGAAGGAACCTTTCCATTTTTCTCTGAAGCGCACCTGTGCCGAGGGTTAGCTCTGCGTTTGAAGTGGGTTTGCTTGTTTGTTTGTTTGTTTGTTTGTTTTAACCACTGGTTTATTGCCTGGCTTTGGTCACATTCCATCCCCTCTTTGAGCTTCATTTCCCCATCTGTGCCATAAATCAGCGGAACTTCCTAAAGTCCCAGTGATTCTTCAGCAGTATCTAGCCTGGGCATGGTGGCACCGTAGTCCCAGCTATTGAGGAGGCTGTGGTGGGCCCAGGAGTTGGAGGCTGCAGTAAGCTATGATCACACCACTGCACTCCAGCCTGGACCCCAGAGTGAGACCCTGTCTCAAAAAAAAAAAAAAGTATCTGACACGGAAGCGTTCTGCTAAAAATGTTTGAGTTTGAGACCCACTGGCCTAGACGACTTCACACCTGGGCCCAGGAATGTGTCTGCTTAGGTCTCTGAAAACTTTTCTCCGGGTTTCACCACCGTGATGCCCCTGAGTCTGACACGTCTTCTCTCAGAGCCTCTAGGCTGAGCCCAGCACGGCAGAACGGGGTGCATCATGAGGCAAAGGACCTGCCGCCCTGGGACAGCCCAGCTAGAGACGGGAATGAAATTACTCTGCAGAGCTCTCCTGCCTCCTGGAGTGGAGGACATTTCTATTACCATCCCCTCTCGTGGGTCCTCTGTCCAGGCCTCCTCTGTCCTGACTTCTTCTACAAGAGAGTGGAAATCCTTCCAGTGTAACAAGCCCGCCTTCACCTGCTCTCATTCGACACAGCAGCCCTATAGTGGAAGGAGGCACAGGAATTGCTTCCCCGCACTCCCGCCCCACTTTTTTTTTATGGAGATGGAATCTCACTCTGTTGCCAGACTGGAGTGCAGTGGTGCGATCTCGGCTCACTGCAACCTCCGTCTCCTGGGTTCAAGCGATTCTCCTGCCTCAGCCTCTTGAGTAGCTGGGACTACAGGCGTGTGCCACCATGCCTGGCTAATTTTTTGTATTTTTTGTAGAGGCGGAGTTTCACCGTGTTAGCCAGGATGGTCTCCGTTCCTGACCTCGTGATCCGCCTACCTTGGCCTCCAAAAGTGTTGGGATTACAGGCGTGAGCCACCGCGCCCGGCCTCCCCTCTTTTACAGATGAGAAAAAGGCTCAGAGAGATAAAGGGACTTGGACCAGGTGACAAAGCAAGTGTTTTGCAGCATTGTGTGAGCATCCTGGCATCCTCATAACGTAAAGAGAATAGGGACTCCCACCAGCTGGGAGAATGGTTCTGATGTGGTAGGAAGGAAAGAGGGTGACTGAGCTCATCCACTCTCTCAAACCTGCTGCAACAGCCAAAACAGGCATGAAAGGGTGGGGGGTGACTTCCTGGGGTTCCCTGGGGATCCTCTGAGTACTTCCCAGGGCTCCTGAGTCAGGACACTGTAAGAGATGGGGGGAGGGTCCTGGCAGCACCAGGCCAGAGGCAGGAGGGCCCTGATCCAGTGACTTCCCATACCCCACCCTCATCCAGCACACACACACACACAGTTGCCGCCGTGAGTGTCCTCATCCATGGCACCTTCCCTGACACAGGAGCATGAAGAAAATGGGCTGTGTGAGCAGAAGGGCTCTCCCTGCCAGCCAGCCCATAAGGCTCTGACAATCTCCTCCAGCTTTGCTGGCAGCTTCTTAGCTTCCTCTACTGTTTCCAAGATGGGCCCAGCATGTCCTCAGGGGACCCTGGGTGGAAATTAGTATTCTAGTCACACCTCCAGTGTCAGTAATCCCTTCTGCTTGGGCAGTACTTGGGAGTTTTCAAAGTACACTCACATCAGAGGCCGGCAAGGTAGGCAGGACAGACAGCAGACAGCAGGGTTGTCCCTATTTTATAAACTGGACAAAACTGAGACTCAGGGAGTGGGGTGACTTGTCCAAGGTCACAGCACATCACTGGGAGACCCAGAACTGGAACCTGGGCTGAGGGTCCTGCTGTATCCATTTCTGGCTTTGTCTACGGGGTTTCCGGCTCCACTAAGGCCATAGCAGCCTTTCTGGCCAAGATAAGCACTGGGTATCTGTCCCTATTTTCAGCATTTTCCCATGACAGGCAGCCCGTCTTATAAAAGCAAGGAGGGCGGCCAGTGGCTTATGCCTGTAATCTCAGCACTCTGGGAGGCCGAGGCGGGTGGATCATGAGGTCAGCTTGGCCAACATGGTGAAACCCTGTCTCTACTAAAAGTAAAAAAATGAGACAGGCATGGTGGCACACACCTGTAATCCCAGCTACTCAGGAGCCTGAGGCAGGACAGTTGTTGGAACCCTGGAGGCGGAGCTTGCAGTGAGCCGAGCTCATGCCATTGCACTCCAGCCTGGGTGACAGAGCAAGACTCCATCTCAAAAAAAAAAAAAAAAAAAAAAGGAAAGGGACGGGGGGCCCTGTAAGTGAAGAAAAATCATGCAACTGACACTCTCCATGCCCCAGCCGAGCCCGGCCAGCCTAGGAAAGTGGGTGTCAGGAAGCCTGAGGTCAGTGTTCAGCTCAGCAATCAATTCTCTGGGGGGTTTTGGTCAGGAGGAAATTTCTTTTTGAGTCTGTTTCTTCTTCTGTAAGATGAGATGAAGGATGAAAATCACTGTATTTAAACAACTCATATGAGAATCGCTTGAAAAGTTTGTACAAAACCCAGATCCTGGGGCTTCACAGCAGGCCGAGAGGATCAGCTCTGGGCTTGGGGAAATCCATGGGAACCCATGATGTGAAGTAGTCTCCTGGGTGATTCTGAGGCCCACTGACATCTGAGACCCCAAGACTTGATGGTCCCAGGGGCCTTCCCTGCTCTGACATCCGATTATTTGAGGTGTGGGAAGTGTGGTGAGTGCACTCTGGCTCTGATGATTTCCTCCCGTATTTTAGTCTTTGTAGTAGACTCAGGGTCATGGAAGTGGAAAAGTATCTTGAACAGATACTAGAGTGCAGTCTGTTCAGGAAAAGCACAACAAGTACCAGAAGTCCCGGGAGGGGTAGGGTTTGCATTCCCACGAGGCCGTGAGCCAGCTGTGGGTTCTTGGGCCTCCGACTGAAAGGTGCTTCCCAGGCCCCAGTCTGGGGTGTACCAGGTGTCCCACCCACGGACATGTCTCAACAATAGAATGATTTCTCTGCTGTGGCCTCCACCCAAGTCCATCTAAAGACTCTTCCTGGCTCTAGATGGTCACCATCCCCCTGCCGCATTCCTGAGGAGCCCCTAACTTTCAGGCCGCCAAAGTGGCGCCGTCCACTCTCGGAGTGTCTGCATGTGTGGCACCCACGTGCTTGGCTACGTGCAGAAGCCGAACATCACTTCCCTGCTGGCCCCAGACTAAACCAGTCATGGTTCTTGGCTGCAAACAAGAGAAACTCATTTTGGCTGACTTAAGCAGAAAAGGAATTTATTCAAGGATATTGGGTAGCATTGAGACCCACCACAAAGTTCTGGAGAACCAGGTTTGAAAAACAAATCTGGCTGCCTCCCAGAAAGACACATGCCATGGGGATTTCCCAAGACTAAAAAGGGAATGCAGGTGCTGTGCATCCCATGAAATGACAAAGGCCTCTCACATGTGGGTGCGGCAACCTGGAGGAGCCTACACCCCAGAGAAACGTTGGTGATGTTTGCTGTGGCTGTTGCCAACAACTGCATTTTCCTGTTCCTCCCTCCAGGTTTCAAATCCCATATGCATCTGATCTGGGAAGGGCTCTACCAGGAACCACCTCCTTTGCTCCACTCCATTAATCCCTCCTGACACTATAATCACGTTTCCCATGCAACCAGTTGAGCTGCCAGCTGCTGAACTCTGATCCCAGACAAACCCTTTTCCCCTGCACCCTCCACCACTCACACACAAACAACCTATCCCATGTCTCCCTAGCCTGCCCCACTTTCCTGGAAAAGGGACATTTGATCTCCAGAACCATTCACTGGGATCACATTTTTTTCTACAATAATTTTTCTGTCTAATTCAATCAATCAACAAATATTTACCAGGCATCTACTATGTGCCAGTTACTATGCCAGGGGCTGAGGGGTGAAAAAAACCACTGTCTTCATGGAGCTTAGAGTATCATGGGGACACAGAGATTGATCAAAGAATCAAACAATTATCTTATTATCAACTCTCAATACTATGAAAGAAATGATCACAAAACCTTGAATCTTTAGTAGGGAGATCTGATCTTGTCTGGGAAGCTTCCTTGGAAAGGTGACATTTGAGTTCAGATGTGGAGGATGAGTGAGAGTCGGTGGGAGGGAGGGAAAGGGAGGAAGGAAGGTTGGAAGAAAGGAAGGGTGGGCATTCTACGCAGAGAGAAAGCACGAGAAAGGGTTCTGAGTAGAATGAAGCCTGTCTTCTCCGTGAAATCAAAGCAGGGTGGCTGGAGCTCCCACTGGGGGTGAGAGGGATGGTGGTGCTGCCCGAGGCTGGGGAGGTAGGCAGGGGCTAGACCAGCAGGGCATCAGGCACACATGATGGATTTTAGTTTTTACCAAAGAGCAACAAAGAACTGTTAAAAATCATGTCAGGAGAGTTGGGGCCTGCAGTGTGAACAGATCAGAGACAGCAAAAGTGGATGAGGGGGCCTGTAAGCAGTCCAGGTGAGAGTTAATAAATACTGTCTTGGACTAGTGGCTGTATAATAGAGTCAAGAGAGCAGAGTCAAGACCTAGTTTGGAAGTGAAATTGACAGGACTTGGTGACAGGCAGAATATGGAGTGAGGTAGGGGTGAGGGAGACTGTGTGTCTAAGGTGACTCTGAGGTTTGTGGTGGATGGTGTTAGAGGAACACTCATTCCCCACTCCTCATGTTTCCTGGTGGAGGGTCTTCTGTTAGCGTAACAGCCCCTCGCTCCTTATATGATGGTGTATTAGGGAGGAGGAACTGGACTGGGGTGGCTCAGTGCCTTTTGGGTTTTCAGATCACCCCTGCCTGCCACAGACAGATGTGATCTCTCTGCTCTCTGGGCCACACAGTGAGCTTGGTGGGGCCGGCTGTATCCACCCCACACCCCTCAGAAGCCTGCAATGTGGGAGGCAGTGTCAGCTAAGGAGGGCGTAGCCAGTCTGATCAGGACCTGGAAACAGAAAAGAGGTGTCATTTTCTAGACCCTCCCAGCACTTAGAGGAGTTATTTACTAAGACAGGGAACACGGGAGGAAAAGCAGGGTTTGAGAGAGAAAAACCATGAATTCAACTTTGGAACCCTTTTCTGGCCACTTTGATATCTTAACTTTGGCTTAAATATCCCATGAAATCAGTACGTTTGCCCATGTACACCTTTTTTAAAAAATTAAAAGGGACATTAACTAATCAAAGTAAGAATTTTCTAAAATTTTGCTGTGGTAGGTCAGCCTGGACTTACAAATCCAAGCCAGATGGGGTCTCCTCAGAGGGGCAGTGACCTGGGGGATGCCAACAGTGACAGCTACCACCAGCAGGTACTTCACACACGTCCCGTACTGCGCCAAGACCATCACATGTAATCTTTACTGTACCCTACGAGAGACACTTTTATTATTCCTACTTTTCAGATGGAGAAACTGAGTCCCAGAGGGGTTAAATGACCTCAGCAAGGCCATCTAGCTAATGAGAGGTGAATCTAGGATTCCAGAGCTCTTGCTCTTAAATGCTACGCTGAATGAGAGGATGCGCTGGAAGATTTTTGACCAATTGTGTGAACAGTAAGAAGCACAACTGTGGCCTTTGTGGCTTCCTTTTTAGAGATGGAATTTCGCTGTGTTGCCCAGGCTGGCAGCATATTGGCCCTCCCCACCTCAGCCTCCTGAGTAGCTGGGACTGGGTGCATGCCATTACACCCATCTAGCACAGCTGTGTTTTGTGCTCTTGGCTGAGAGGTTCTTAGGACCCACTAGCCCTATTGTCTCTTCGTTCCTCTCCCCAATCCGCCTTCGTCATGTGAGCCTTTGCAGCAGCCACCTGATCTCAGAGTTCTCTTCTTCCCTCTCTTCAGACATTTTGCAGACATCCTCCTCCCCTCCTCTAACACAGAGACAACCTGTCTGGTAAAGCCTCTCAAACCCAGCCAGAATCATCTGGAAGAGTTTAGCGGGCTGGCAGCAAGGCCAGTCTGAAATGGACTTAGCTAGATTCCGCCCGAGGCCCTCCCATTAGCTGCGCAATGCAGCCTCTGCCCAAAGTGCAAAGCAGAATGCTGCTGGAGCTGCTCATGAAACCACCTTACTGTGGCCACCAGATTGTCCCCATTTGCTTTGGAAAGCAATGCCATTGTGAAATATGGCATCTCCTGTAGTTCTGCATCGGAAGCAGAGAGGGCATACACGGACTCCCTCCCCATTCCAGCAGGCATGTTCTCAACACCCCTGCACCTGGGCCTCTGGCCAGGGGCCTCCATAGCCGCCTTCAGGAGTGAGTGCACTGCGGTCTGAGCACCTGGATGTAGCCCTCCACCCTTACCCTGTGCCTCCCTAAAGCCTCGTGTGTCAAATGAAGTCATCATTATCCCTACCTCGTGAGATGTCACAAGAATAAATAATTTAATATATGCAAGGTGCTTGGCACCGAGTGTTATAAAACTTGATGATGATGATAGTTTGCTATCATCATCATCATCATCACCATCATCACTACCACCATTCAGTACATAGTTTCCCACCTTTGCACTTTTAAAAAAGGAAAACCCATTGCCATATGTAATATGATTTCTTTACCACTTTGTTGAAACCAACTTTAAATAAACTCACTTTTAAAACGTAGCCTCGGCTGGGTGCGATGGCTCATACCTGTAATCCCAACACTTTGGGAGGCCGAGGCAGGTGGATCATTTGAGACCAGGAGTTCAAGACCAGCCTGATCAACATGGTGAAACCCCGTCTCTACTAAAAATACAAAAATTGGCTGGGCATGGTGGCACACAACTGTAATTCCAGCTACTCGGGAGGCTGAGGCAGGAGAATCGCTTGAACCCAGGAGGCAGAGACTGCAGTGAGCTGAGATCACGCCACTGCACTCCAGCCTGGGTGACAGAGCAAGACTGCCTAAAAAAAAAATAACAGTATCCTTGAAATCACAGGTTTCGTGGTTCTAATTATATTTTTAAAAGCTCATTACAGTAAATATGTGTCTATTAGCATAATAATTTACCCTTGCAGCACGAAATCACCTCGTACTGACCAGTGGTCCTCACACCTCTCTTTGAAGCCCACCTATGCAGGCCAAGTCCTCGCACATGTCTGAGTCTCCTCATCTGTAAAACAGGTGCAGCGTGATGATGACACTGCCCCAGGACCGTTGTCACGTGCTGTGGGATGCTGGTTTTGACCATGCTTGGTAAACTGCAATTTGTCAGTGGAGTTGATATCATAGGGTCTCCCCACGCCCACTTCATTCCAGATGTCCTGGGATGTTCGTTCTCTAGAAGCTCTAGCAGCTCACCCAGGTTTGCAAAAGGAACAGCTTATAATGAGCCCTCTCCACTCCCATCCCACTTCTGGGAATCTGTGGGGCTGTCACTCAGGGATGTTTTTTTCTCTCGTGTTTCCTCTCCTTGGGTTAGAACAGCCCCCAAAGCCTATTTTAATCCTTTGTCCCCATTTGGCATCCAGCCTTCCTCTTATCTTGACTTCACTGAGGGTGTCAGGTCCATTTGCTGTACTCAGGAGGTGGCACCCCCAAATCGAGGCCCTCTGGCATCACCTCCAGCCTGGCTGGGCAAACTGCCCCCGGCTTCAGAAAGCAGAAACTCCCAGGAGTTTTCTCTCCCCTGGCTGCGGGCTCTCCTATTGCTTGCTTGCCTGCCCACCTAAATCATAGATCCAGAAACATCTTTTCTCTGGACCTAACCAGCAGAGGCAGCTGCTCACATTCTGCTTCTTCTTTCCTCATGGTAATTCATTAGGCATTTCCTCTGATCCTAGCCTCTCTTCCTCTCTCCTGATGAGCCAACAGGGTAAAATCTCCAAGAGAGGCCTTGGGGCACCTTCTGATCCAAGGGGAGAAGACTGCAGCCTGGTGGGGCTATGATGTGGGCAGAGGAGAGGCTGGGAGTAAATTCCGGGGCTAATGCCTGGAATACTTTGCATTTCTCTGACCCTGCCCCGCCCAGCCAGCACCCAGAGCTTCACAAATGCCCATTTAGAAGGCCGCACCCTGCTAGTATGGTGAGGTCCTTGTGACTGGCTGGCCCCCATCAGACACAGAAAAAGTAGAGGGAGCTGGGGACAAACTTTAAAAAACTGATGACAACATGATTCCTTTTCTTTTATGAAAGAAAGGAAAAACACATGTAAAACAAACCCAGAACGTCCATCTGAAGAGTGGACGGGAGCAGTGGTTTTCAATTTATAACACAAGTGTACTCTTAGCCTATCCATGCACCATTGCATCCAGAAGGATGTACAAAACAGCCCTTCAAGATTGAGTTGTGTCGGGCTGGGCGCGGAGGCTCACGCCTGTAATCCCAGCACTTTGGGAGGCCGAGATGGGCGGATCACGAGGTCAGGAGTTTGAGACCAGCCTGGCCAACATGGTGAAACCCTGTTGCTACCCAAAATACAAAAATTAGCCAGGTGTGGTAGCACACACCTGTAATCCAGCTACTCGGGAGGCTGAGGCAGGAGAATCGCTTGAACCAGGAGGCAGAGCTTGCAGTGAGCTGAGATCACGCCACTGCACTCCAGCCTGGGTGACAGAGCGAGACTCTGTCTCGAAGAAAAGATTGCACTGTGTCTTCCCAGTCAGAGTATGGGAAGGTCAGGGGTCCAGTCGGGGAATCCCTGGGCACTCCTCAGCCCCAGGTCCTTCCAGCTTGGCCTGAGGGCCTCCCCCCACATTTGGCCTTCTCTCCTTTCACTCCCCACCCACACCCCAATTCCTGCCCCTTCGGACCTCCTCAACCTACTGCTCCCACTCCCAGGCCATGCCTTGGGTCCAGGTCAGGCTTTTGGTCACATTGGGTTCTGCTTTACCTGGGCAGGAACTGTGCTGGGGGCCGGTGGGAGAAGCAGGCCGGTGGATTTTAGAAGGCAGGCTAACCTTGCTCTCTGTCCAGCTGGCCTCCCCTTGGCGCAGTTCCTGTGTATGGATATTCTTACAGAATCGCTACTCTCCCTCTCCTTTGAGCTGGCCTAGCTTTGGCTTATCATAGGCCCCAGGAAAGGCCAGGGGACTGGGGTACCGGTTAGAGGGATATAAAAGTTCATTCTGCCTTGTACGTATGTTTAATTGATTAGAACACTTCATTTTCTCACAGCATGTATTTCATTGTACTACTGGCAACTGTCATCTCTTATAAATGAGGTTCATAAATAGTTGTTCCAGCTTATGGAATTCTGGAGAAAAAAGCTTCCAGAACAGTGATATGGTGCACTTCCCACAAAATGAGACAAGCTGAAGACACCTGTGAGTATCAACCCTCATTTATGACAGCCTCGTATGGTGGGGTAGTTAGAAGGTGATGCAGGGACATTCAACAGCAGAGATTATAATGACAGTAAGATAAGAGTTACTACAATCAAACTACTGCCTAGCTACTCGGCCCCGGGTTGGATGGTGAAGATTCAAAATTAAAAGCCATGGTCTCTGCTCGGGGGCTCCTGGTCTAGGCCACTTTGACTCAGAAGAATTTGAAATGACCCTTCAAATCCACCCTTCTCTCGCCACCGACCTCAACTGATGGGCATCAGCATGCCATCAGGTGGGTACACGTGTGACGAAGGATCAGGCACCTTACCTTTTATTCCTTCTTAATGTTGTGTGCCGAAATTTGGTGTGCACGGTATGTGTCTGCAAGCCTTTTACATTTTCATCCACATCAGTATTCATTTTTGCTTCTCAGCTACATTCTCAAAAATGAGAAGGAAGTGTGCTTATTCATTTAGATTGCCATGTGCGAGGGTCTGCCCAGCCGAACACCTGAATCATGTTTTGCTAATGATGTTGATGTCGACGTTGACCAAAGCTTGATAATTCCGTAACAATGTAATATGTCTTATTTTTAAACTAAAGCTTGGCTGGATCCCAACCAAAGCCACAGACAGAATTCAGAAGAGGTTTCTTTTAAGAAAATAGTAAAAGAAAAAGGTTTGCAAACCCACCAGATGAGAGAACAGTGCTCTTCCTGGCAGTCTCGTCTGCCTCTGGTAATGCTCAGGTCACCCAGTGAATGACACAATGTCCCTGTGGGCCTCATCCCATCTGCTTCTGTTTGTCATGGCCCAGGGCCCGTCAGTCCCTCAATGCTGCCCTTCCTGCCTCCCAGGCAGGTCTGGGCTTCTGTGAGTCACTCTCACAGCAGCCGTGACCCATGCAACATCTCAGAGTTTCTCAGCACAACAATTCATCATGTGCCTCAGTGTTCATCCAGCAATGTCAGGAAGAAACTGCTGGATATTGTTCTATGTCGAGTCAAAAGCTGTCCTGCAAAACAGCAGTGCCATTGAAGATGAAAGTTGATTCCCAAGCTAAAGCCAATCAAATACAATCTTGAGATATTTTGTGGGTCGAACTACATTTTTTGTTTGTTTGTTTTTGAGACAGGGTCTCACTCGGTCGCCCAGACTGGAGTGCAGTGGCGGGATCACCACTCACTGCAACCTCTGCCTCCTGGGCTCAAGCAATTCTCCCATCTCAGCCTTTCAGGTGGCTGGGACTACAGGCGCGCGCCACCGCACCTGGCTAATTTTTATATTTTTTGTAGAGATAGGATTTTGCCACATTGCCCAGGTTTGTCTCGAACTCCTGGGCTCAAGCAATCTGCCCTCCTCGGCCTCCTAAAGTTCTGGGATTATAGGCGTGAGCTACCGTCTGCCCTCCTCGGCCTCCTAAAGTTCTGGGATTATAGGCATGAGCTGCTGTGCCGTGCCCGGATGCTTTGGTATCAGAGACAGCACAGATACCCTGGAAGTCTCTCGTAGACGGCTTCTCTACTCTGGAGACCAGCGCTGATATTTAGCTGGTGTGCAAGAGTAAAAACAACCCCATCCCTCCTGCTTCCCTGTACCCTCTCATCTATGGAAGCTCTAAGGGAAGGGACTGGTTTGGCTTCCACTTTGATAGAATGGGCAGCAGTCACATGGCCCATTCAGCAATAGAAGAGCTCTAGATCCATTTTTTTATTCCAAGACCTCTCACAGCTTCACAACTTCCTCTGAAGTTTGCCTGGTCATGTCCCTGTCTCTGGCCTGAGATACTCCAGCTAAACAATGCAATGAGAAATATTTGGCAGCCTTTGTATCTCTGTGTACCTGAAAGGTGTGCCCTCCTTGGCCAGGAAACTAGAAATACCAGCCTGTGGGAGCTGGGATGGGCTAGGACCACTTTCTCTGAAGATGTTGCAAATGTAAGGCAAGGACATTGAAAACCAAATTCTAGAGGATACCAAGCAGAGACAAGCGTGAAAAAGAAAAGAAAAGAAAGGTGACCAAGACTGATGCATAACAGAGAATCGGGAGAATGACGCTGGTTCCCAAGAGGGGTTATTATGCCACTGGTTCTCATCGGGGGCTAAAGGCCCTCTGTGGGATTGTGAAGATTTGCAAATGTGTCCAATAACCTGAGTATTTTCTTTGTCCTTAATTGTGTTTCAATTTGAGAAACAGAGAGGAAGGAGGATGGCTAGTATGGGGCATGTGTGAGACAGAGAAAGATGTGGATGTGAAAGGAAGGAATTCTCACCGGGCACGGTGGCTCACGCCTGTAATCCCAGCACTTTGGGAGGCTGAGGCGGGCAGATCACAAGGTCAAGAGATTGAGACCATCTTGGCCAACATGGTGAAACCTCATCTCTACTAAAAATACAAAAATTAGCTGGGTGTGGTAGCATGTGCCTGTAGTACCAGCTACTCAGGAGGCTGAGGCAGGAGAATTGCTTGAGCCTGGGAGGCGGAGGTTGCAGTGAGCCGAGATCGTGCCACCGCACTCCAGCCTGGTGACAGAGCAAGACTCCATCTCAAAAAAAAAAAAAAAAAAAAGGAAGGAATTGCCCAACTAACATCTGAGATTTTCCACCAGCCAGAAAAACATTAGTTAAGTACTACCCCAGGCCACCTAATTCCAGGTCATTTGAAATCCTGTGGAACAGTTTTAACCTGACAGCCTGTTATTCACCCAGACATGTATTTCATATTCCTCAATTTCTAGCCAAGGAAGGGAAGGATGTGGAGTCGGTGGGGCTGTAGAGAGCCTGGACCAACAATCAGAGGAGCTTGAGTTTCGTGCTGGCTCTAGTACCAACAGTATAATCTGTCTTTCACCTGGTCTCTCTTAGAGCCCCTGGACATGCTGAAAATAATCTTTACAGCTTTCGAGTGCTTTGCTGGTGGCAGTAGCTGAGGGAATGGAAATTTGGAGAGCAAGAACCAAACCACAGCAGTCTGTTGGCCATAGCAAGCCACACTGTGGACCGCTCTCAATGCCATTCAAGTCATCATTTATCACTAACTCTTCTTTGCGGGTCACCTGCTGACTGTGGCCTGCCACTTCAGCAAAACTGGTGGGAACAGGTGCTCTAATGTGCTGACAGTATCACAGAGTAACACTTGAATTGAGAAAACTGGGGTTTGGCGGGGGGAAAATACTATAGTTACAGGTTCGTATTTCTGCTTCTCCAATTAGATTACAAGGCTCTCTAGGGCAAGGACTATGCTTTTGAAGCCCAAAGTCCTAGCAGAGGGCTTGGCCCATGGAAATGCTCAATAAATGTTTGTGAATGAGAGAAAAGGAGGGAAAGAGGGAGTGGGTTCTTTCCAAGGTCACACTGCAGACGTCCCCCGACAGTGGAGGCATGCTGGCCACTGTCCCCCTCAGCACCCAGCTCTAGTGGATGTTCTTTTGCGGGTCAGGCTGATTATGTCTATTTCCCAGAAAGTGTCACTGATACCATCAGACCCCAAGGCATCTGCTGTTCCAGAGCAGGCTCCCCTGGTCTGTAATGTGAACGATATCAGAGAAGCCAAGATTGTCTTTGTCTCAACTCTCCTGCCGGGGGTGCTAAGCCTGGGATATCCACTCAGGCTGGGAACAGGTGGTCTAATGTGCTGAGAGCATCACAGAGCAGATTCAAGATCCTTTTGAATTGAGTGGATCTCAGAGTATCAGGGCTGGGATGCTGGCCTTCTACAGATAAGAAAACTGGAGCTCAGCATCTGTGGCTGGCAGGACCCAGGGGTGGGGAATGGCCCCACAGGGAGTGGAGCCCAGGAGAGTCAATGGTGAGGCCCCCAGGGTACAGGCAGGATCGACCTAACAGGCCACCCTAGGAAGGCATTCATGCAATGGGGTGGCAGGTTTCTGGAAAAGACCTGGGAAGCTGAGGGCCAGAGAGCAGAGGGGACCCACTCAATCTCGTCCAGTGTCAGGGACAGAGACAGATCAGAGGCAGGATCTGGTCTCTTCACAGGAGGGAATGGCTGGACTGGAAGAGAGAGGAGGAGAGGGAACCTATGTAAATCCCTGAGGCAATGGAGCCTACCCAAAGCATGCTGGGAGTAGGGACAGAGGGTATTGGGGAGCTATTAAGGGAGCCGAGCCCGTCTGGATCATTCTGCGTTGTCCTAGACCCCGCTCCACTTTCTACCAGCTCTGGGAATTCACCTGCTCTCTGCTCTTTGCACAGTCCCCACTTTGGAAATGGGGAGGGGCTCCGAGTTGGGTATGACCCTCTTCTAAGCAAGCTTCAGGGCCCTGTCAGTGATGTGGCCTTCTGCAACATCCAGTCACTCACTGGGTATCCCTGTGTCCTCAGTTAGTGCCGGACCCAAGCTGGGTCCCTGCCCCAGCAGTCTCATGATCTTGTTGGGGAAGTAGGGGGACATTTGAGGCACCCAGCACAAGGCACTCTAAGGCAGGCATGGCTCCTGGTATAACCAGTGGGTTGTTAGAAGAAGCAGAGAAGAGCCTCATGGGCACGTTGGCTTTTGGAGGAGATGAGGCTGGAACTGGAGTTTGAGCATTACGTGCTGGGATGGGAGTTTCGAGTAAAGTCACTGCAGTAAGAATACACACGTTTTCTCGCAAGGGTAGAGGGAAGGAAAGTTGTTAGGGCAGCCTCAGAGTCATCAGGTAAAAGCCTATGGTTTTTTTTTGTTTGTTTGTTTGATTTGCTTTTTCTTTGAGATGGAGTTTTACTCTTGTCTCCCAGGCTAGAGTGCAATGCAAGATCTCAGCTCACTGCAACCTCCACCTCCTGGGTTCAGGTGATTCGCTTGCCTCAGCCTCCTGAGTAGCTGGGATTACAGGTGCCCACCACCATGCCTGGCTAATTTTTATATTTTTAGTAGAGACGGGGTTTCAACATGTTGGCCAGGCTGGTCTCAAATTCCTGACCTCAGGTGATCCACCCGCCTCGGCCTCCCAAAGTGCTGGGAATACAGGCATGAGCCACCATGCCCAGCCAGGCCTGTGTTTTTTAAGCATTTTTTAATCAGCACAGTAATCCTTTGCCAAAGGAAACTCTACTCAGAATGTGTCAACCTGCTAAAAGCAGAACTGCTGTATCCTTTCAGCTTCCTTCCTACCCCAGTGTTACACCTCAGCCCCACCGCCACCTCAGAAAATGAGTGAAGCTTTATAGCAGGACTAGTTCAACCTCATTATTGGACCAGAAGGGAAACTGAGGCATAAAGAGCAGAAGAGACAAGCTCAAGCTCAGGGTTTTTTCCACCAGTCCTTGCTGCCTCCTGAATGAGGCCAGACTGGAGCCACTTTCAGCCAGGCTAAGGGATGTAGCTTCCATAAGATGGAGAACGTTGGATTGTGTTTGGACAAAGGCATTTTTTCTGTCATTCCGGTTTGACAGCCCAGCTAGTGCTGCAATCTCTTGATGTTTCAATTTTTTTTTTTTTTTTTTTTTTGAGACAGAGTCTTGCTCTGTCATCCAGGCTGGAGTGCAATGGCTCAATCTCGGCTCATTTCAACCCCCACCTCCCAGGTTCAAGAGATTCTCCTGCCTCAACCTCCTGAGTAGCTGGGATTACAGGCATGCACCACCACGCCTGACTAATTTTTGTATTTTTAGTAGAGACGGGGTTTCACCATGTTGGCCAGGCTGCTCTCAAACTCCTGACCTTAGGTGATCCACCTGCCTTGGCCTCCCAAAGTGCTGGGATTACAGGCACAAGCCACTGCACCTGGCCTGTTTCAATTCTTTCACTGAGAAGACTAGCATATTGAAATCACCTGAGAAATAGCTCTAGCAATGCAAGGTTAGAAAAACTGGTAGGGATGGTGGTTTGGGCTCAAGAGGGAGATGTCATTCGGTTAAGTTTTGGTAAATAGATGAACTGACAGTGAATAAGTTCGATGGAAGAATCAGTGCTTCCTTAAACTGCAGCATAAATTATGCCCGTTCATTCCTTGGCCAAATGATGTGAGGAACTGATCAACATCTGCGGAAGCTACGAGAGACCTTCTGCCTCTGTCTCTCCTGGGGTTTATCTTGGCCAGGGCTCTTTCTAGTAGGTTTCTGCCAGTTTTCATGACAAAGCTTCATTTCAGTGACCTTGAGAAGGCTAGACGGGACTTGGGGTGAGGTGAAACATCTAAGAAAGGCAGCAGATGCATTAATTGTTTCTTGCTTATTCTTTCAAACACGCAAGCCGAGAAATGCTGTTGGAGAAAATCAGTCACTTCCCGAGGTCTCAAACTGCCCCGCCACAGTCGACCAGGAGAGCTGCTCTCCCAAGCCTTGATTCCCCTAGCACCACCCTCTACGGTTTGTAAAGAACTTTCAGATGCATTCTCTCATATGAGTCTCACAGAAATGCTGTGAGGCAGACCAGGTAGGCATTGTTCCCATTTGAGGGATGGGTCAGAGAGACAAGGAGGCTTGCCCAAGATGGTGTTGCTAGTTAGCATGTATTCAAATATTCATTGGTCTATACTTCTTTATGAATGATGTTTGTTATCACAGCACGGAGCCAGGGCTTCGGACTTGCTCCCTAGCACTCTTTTGGCCCCATCAGGCTCTTTCACCTAAGGATGTAAATAAAAATGGATTTTCCACTGGAAACAGGTCAAATGACTTAATACAGCCACAGACAATTCGGAGCAAGCTGGTAAATCCTAAATGAGTCATGCTTCATTTGAATAACAAACCAGACAAACGCTCAGGCCTACAGCAGAAAGAAATAGGATTATACAGTTAGAGGGAATTTGTTTATTGAGACCAATGGCTTTTAGACATTTCTAAGGCATGAAAACCATTCTTTTTTTTCTTTTCTTTCTTTCTTTTTTTTTTTTAAGTCTTGCTCTTGTTGCCCAGGCTGTAGTGCAATGGCACGATCTCGGCTCACTGCAACCTCCGCCTCCCAGGTTCAAGCGATTCTCCTGCCTCAGCCTCCCGAGTAGCTGGGATTACAGGTGCATATCACCATGCCTCGATAATTTTTTGTATCTTTAGTAGAGATGGGGGTTTCACCATGATGGCCAGGCTGGTCTCGAACTCCTGATCTCAGGTGATCCACCAACCTTGGCCTCCCAGAGTGCTGGAATTATAGGCGTGAGCCACCGCACCTGGCCAGCCATTAAGATGAAGTCTTACCAGGCAGTTGAATGGGAAAACCTATTAAAGCAGCTTTTCTGAAGAACATGAGGCCCCACTTAGCATCTTTGGGAAACGCTCTCATTTACAGATGAGAAAACAGGCCCAGAGGCCCAGGGCGGGGGGACCTGAGCTGGGGCTGGAACCCCAAACCAGTGTTACTCCCATTAAAGGGTCCTCATGAAGAATCAGCTGATGGTCCCAACTCACTTTTTGCCCATGTTTTCCTCTGTTCCCCATATTTCTAAATATATCTTATCCTTTCTATCTCCTTTGCTCAAGCTATTTCCTCTTCTCAGAATGCATTTTCACCTGTGAAATTTGCATTTTCCCCTCCAGACCCAGATCAAAGAGATCTCCCTCCCCCACTCCGCACCTTCCTTTGCCATGAAGCTCTCCCTAAGGGTCATAGCTAGACAGACTTACAGTCCCATATCTGAGTTTCATTAGAACTTGTGGCGACACTCTTAGGACGTTCTGCTTTGTCTTAAAGTCATTTGAGACTTAATCTCACCCCTGAGATTTCATCCTTCTTGGGTTCTGTGACAGGGTCCTCATCACAGAGTCTTTTTTTGTAGTGTGTGTGTGTGTGTTTGTGTGTGTGTGTGTGTGTTTAATGGAATCTATGTATAGAATCACTTTCCTTTCTGAATACCCAAGTTCTGGAGTCAGCCTAGCTTGGGTCCCCATCCCAGCCCTGCCATTTCCTAGGAAAGTCACATCATTTCTCAGCGTTTTTGTATCTTCAGCCATTACACATGCCCACTCCTCTGTGAAGAGCCAAAGACAGGGTATCGTTAGAGGCATTTATAAGCTACAGGCTGCCTTGATGGCTAGTGTTTTGAGATCACTAGGAAAAATTTTAAATTCAGTTCTAAGAGCCTAAAAAATCGTGCAATGCCAAATAACTGGTTACTTTGGATGTCCCTTTCCAGTGAGTTGCTTAGGCTTTATACAGTCTCAGTCTTCCTTCTACCTGCATGTTGAGCCCCAAGTTCTTGTATTTGCTGCTCTGGAAGTGAGCTCACTGTATTTTTATTGACTGAAACTGTTCCTTCATTTCTAAAATGGTTTTTGAGGTCTACTATGCTACATTATTATGGGTTGAGTTGTATCCCCGCCAAAAGCCCTAACTCTTGGTACCTGTGAATTTGTCTTATTTGGAAATACAGTCTTTGCCAATGTAATCAAGTTAAGATGAGGTAATGCTGGAGCAGGGCGGGCCTGACTCCAATATGGTTGGGCGTCCTCATAAGAAGAGGAGAAGGGACAGAGCCATCCATACAGAGGGAAGATTGCCATATGAAGATGGAGGCAGAGATGGGATTTATGCTGCCACAAGCCAAGGAAAGCCTGCAGTTACCAGAAGCTAGAAGAGACAAGGAAGTATCCTACCCTAGAGGCTTCAGAGAGGGGATGGCTCCACCAACACCCTGATTTCCAACATCTAACCTCTACAACTGCAAGAAATAAATTTTTTTTTAAGTTAAAATTCCTGAGCTCAGGAGATCCTCCTGCCTCAGCCTCCTGAGTAGCTGGGACTACAGATGCGTGCCATCATGCCTGGCTTAAGCTTCTATCATCTTACGCCACCTAGTTCGTGGTACTTTGTTACTGTGCCCTGGGAAATGAACATACATGCAAACTGGCAAATTAGCAGAGAATAAGACATGGTCCACCCTCATCAAATGAGGGAGGCGTGACAACAAACACAAATGAACGAGTATTAAAATGGCTGATTCTTCTAAGTACACTGATGAAATTGAACAGGGTCATGTAACATTCCAGTTCTTACCTGAAGGAAGAGAAGCTCATTGTGGGAGAGGTAGACAGCAGCCAGGTCGCCTAGGGTCTCGGGATGCTGTATGGGAAAATGGGTTGTCATAGAGCCAGGGTGGCCACGGACAGACCTAACTGAGTTGTTTGAATGGATGCTGGTGGCTTGGAAGCACATGGCAGCAATGAAGAAGGAGTGAAAGTGGACAGATTCGAGATACCTTGTGATGGCTGAGCCAGAAGGTCTTGCCGATAGGTTGGCTGTGGAGATGTGAGAAAGAGAGGAATCGAGGAGGAGTCTAGGCTTTTGGCTTAAGCCAAAACCATTTATTTTATTGAAATGGGGAACATTAGTGGGGGCGTATGTTGGGGATGAGAGGGAAGGAACCGAGAGTTCTGTTAGGGTTGAGATGCTTGTTAGATATCTTTGTGAAGACGCCAAGCAAGCCATTGGCTATGTGAGTCCAAAAGTCAAAGTCCAGTGTCCTTCACCCTGTCTGGTGATGAGATCTTTCCAAATATCCAGGCCTGCAGTGAGATTGGAGAGTTTCTTCCTTCCTGTTGGAATATTTCTTTCTCCAGCTGGGTAGATACCCGCTGGGAGTCCCTGGATAACTGCTAATGCCAAGAAACTTGCTAAGTAGCACTGAAGTTTTCAAATTTCTTCACAAAGTGTATTGTGCTTCCAAAGCTTCCTGTGGTGTCTTCGGAGCTGTGTCTAGCTGCATCAGCAGAGCTGCGTCTCTTGGGGCTTCCAGGATAAGCTGGGTGGAAGGATGGGGAGAGCTGTAGGTGACCCTGGACCGTATTCCCAGGACTCCAGGCTCCCAGCTGTTTGGCCAATTAAAGAAGAAACCTTCTGCTTTGTACAGACCCACTTCCCACACAAAGAGCTCGGGGGAGAACAAAAAGAGCCAGCAATGCCTGCACTCTGGGAAGGCTGAGCCTCACGCAAGGGTGCTGACTCAGAAGCAGCAGTTGCTTGCCCTAGGAGCCTGCAGTCGTTGGCACAATCAAAAATCAATTAAAACATGCCATTCTGCTTTGCTCACCCTATGCCAGCCTCTCCAGGCACTTCCCCTCATTTTCAGCTCCTCCCAGAGTTCTTTGCTGCCTAATTAACTTGGAGTCCAATAGCCTGAGCAGGAGGCAAGCTGTACAGGAGTGAGGAGCATTGAACCAGGAGCCTAAGCCTCAGGACCTGCTTTGGCTGCACTGTAACTATTCCTGGGACTGTCAGCAAATCATTTAACTCCCTGGGCCTTGGGTGCCTCAACTATGAAACAGGTGGTGATTGTCTACCTTCCTGTCCAGGTGTTTTGGGGAATAATCTTGAGAGTAAAGAATGTATGGCCAGGTGCGGTGGCTCATGCCTGTAATCCCAACACTTTGGGAGGCTGAGGTGGGTGGATCACGAGGTCAAGAGATCAAGACCATCCTGCCTAACATGGTGAAACCCTGTATCTACTTAAAATACAAAAATTAGCTGGGCGTGGTGGCAGGCATCTGTAATCCCAGCTACTCAGGAGGCTGAGGCAGGAGAATCGCTTGAACCCAGGAGGTGGAGGTTGCAGTGAGCCAAGATTGCACCATTGCACTCCAGCCTGGGTGACACAGAGAGACTCCGTCTCAAAAAAAAAAAAAAAAAAAAAAAAAGAATGTATGTGGCCACACTCTTGTAAATTGTAAATTCCTGTTTAAATTTAATAGATTCTATGATATCTAACATATACAATATGACAAAACACATTTTAACCCACATTTAAAAGGAATTCTAAAAAAGTATTCCTTCTTTTTTAGTTGCAAAATTGTTTGGAGGGAATAAGTCAACAATCTACAAACTTACCAAGTTTCTCACAGCTGACACCATTTCTCTTTGGTCTCAGTGGCCCAGAGCAGGAGCTCTAACTGGGTGCGCCGGAATGACTGCAGCGGCGCGTTCCAGGAGCCTCTAAGGAAAGGTTGCCAGATTAAGCAAATAAAAATACGGGATGGGCCAGGCACAGTGGCTCACGCCTGTAATTGCAGCACTTTGGGAGGCTGAGATGGGAGGATTGCTTGAGTCCAGGAGTTTGAGACCAGCCTGGGCAATATAGTGAGACTTTGTCTCTACAAAAAATAAACAAAATTAGCCAGGTATGGTAGTGCAAACCTGTAGTCCCAGCTACTCAGGAGACTAAGGTGGGAGGATCACTTGAGCCTGGGAGGTCGGGGCTATAGTGAACCATGATTGCACCACTGCACTCCAGACTGGGTGACAGAGGGAGACCCTGTCTCAAAAACAAACAAACAAACAAACAAAAAACAGGATATCCACTTAAAATGAATTTCAGATAAATGATGAATAATTTTTTGTATGAGTATGTCCCAAATATTGCATGGGATAAACGTATACTACTTTCATTGTTTACCCGAAATTCAAATTTATCTGGGTGTCTTCTATTTCATCCGGCAGCTCTCCAGGATGCCTGGGCAGCATGAAGCAGAAGACTCGGCCACTTGAATCCCCAATATGCCTCACCCATGTCTCCAGGAGACAGCCCTGCCTTCAGGGGAGGGTCTCCTTGCACTTCAAGCTCTTTGGATTAAGAAATGGTTTATAGGCTGGACGCAGTGGCTCACGCCTGTAATCCCAGCACTTTGGGAGGCCAAGGTGGGTGGATCACTTGAGGTCAGGAGTTCAAGACCAGCCTGGCCAACATGGTGAAACCCCGTCTCTACTAAAAATACAAAAAGTATCTGGGCATGGTAGTGGGCACCTGTAGTCCCAGCTACTCAGGAGGCTGAGGCAGGAGAATCACTTAAACCTGCGAGGTGGAGGTTCAGTGAGCCAAGATCGTGCAACTGCACTCCAGCCTGGGTGACAGACGAGGCTCTGTCTCAAAAAAAAAAAAAAAAAAAAAAAGTCTATCTTTAATAACTCAACACATATAGACTGTCTCAAAAAAAAAAAAAAAAGAGATGGTATATCTTTTATAAGTCAACACATATATTTGATGGCTGCCCATGAGCAGAAGAGCATTGTCTAAATGTGTAAGACAATAGGTCTGGCCACCAGAGACTTGAACCTCAGAGAGGTTTAATGGAAGCTTTAATGGAAGGAGAGAACACCAAACTCACAGGAAACAACAAGATAGACGGTTAGGGTGAGGAGGGTGTTCGCTGGGCGGGGAGGACGAGGAGAAAACCAGGAGATGAGGAACCAGGGGCTCCTCATCCCACAGCACATCCCCCTCCCCACTGACCGGGCACTCGGCACTCAGCCCTGCTCTTTGTCTTGTCCTTACACAGTTCTTCCCTGCAAGGTCCACACCCTGGAGCCAGTAATGGGCTTTGGATGCAGGCTTTTCAGTGAGGGAGTGGGAAGCAGTGAGGAGAATGACCTGAGACGGAGCCCCCTGGGAGAGCGGCAGATTTCACACTCTGTGCTGTGACTTGTCATTAGCAGCCCCAGAAGTGCACACAAAGGAGAAGAAAGGAAAATCGTCTGCTGACCCTGCCATGTTCTGAATTCAGTAGACACTTGTCTGGGCCCGTAGAGTCTCCCTTCTCCCCTTCTTTCCACCCTTCCTGCCTTTCTTCTTTATTTCCTGACCAGCTACCACGAGCAGGGCCTT
The DNA here is from genome assembly GCF_000001405.40 of Homo sapiens. NCBI lineage: Eukaryota > Metazoa > Chordata > Mammalia > Primates > Hominidae > Homo > Homo sapiens. The sequence continues at coordinate 82,538 of NT_187534.1, forward strand.
TTACCTGACTGACTAAGGGAAATTGGCCAGAGTCCCACTCGTAGGAGGCAGGGAAATTAGGAAGGAAAAGGACTGAGGATGGAGAGATCATGTCCAATTCGAGAACCCAGGAAGGCTTCCTGGAGGAGCTAGCATTTTGTTCTGAGTCTTGAATACATAGTATTTGGACATGTAGAGACAGGGGAGAAGGAGGGCACACCCACACAGAGGAAGAGGGAGGGCAAGGAACAGGGCTGGGGAGGCCCAGAACACACGAAAGTATTGGTGGTCAGAATGAGTGACAACCCCCCTGAGGTTGGCTTCAGGATTCAAACCAGGGGTCTGAGGTAAAGGGAAGTGAGGTTTGCATCGTCCTGGGATGCTCAGAGAAACATTCTGGCCACTTGTTTACCTCTTTTTCTCTTTTCCTTCTGAAAAACAAGGAAATTCAGTAGACACTTGTCTGGGCCTTTTTCTTCTGAAAAAGAAGGAAAAGAGCACATGTTCTCTGTTGGAGGCTCATTTATAATTCAGGCAACCTCCTTCAGAGGGAGCAGGTGTTTCTCTGGGATGAAACACCTTGGGAAACAGAATGTACAAGTGGAAAAAAAAGCATGTCACAGCACAGCCAGGCAGAGAAAAGCTTGGGTCGAGGCAAGGGCAGAAGGAAGAGGAGGCGTGAGAAGACAAGGCAGCAAAAGACAGCAGCAATCCCTTCCCACCCAACATGCTCACGCTCTCCCTCTCTCTTTTCCTCTCTCTGCAAATCTGGATTGACATTACCCCCTTCAACCCCAGTGTCCATAATTCCATCATTAGAATGCCTTTCTTTGAGTCTTAATAGCTCCTCCTTCAAGACTACCCCCACCCCAACCTTTTTTTTTTTTCTTTTGAGACTGAGTCTTGCTCTGTCGCCCAGGCTGGAGTGCAGTGGCACAGCCTCGGCTCTCTGCAACCTCCGCCTCCCAGGTTCAAGCAATTCTCCTGCCTCAGCCTCCCGAGTAGCTGGAATCACAGGTACCCACCACCACACCTGGCTAGTTTTTGTATTTTTAGTAGAGACAAAGTTTCCATGTTGGCCAGGCTGGTCTCAAACTCCTGACCTCAGGTGATCCACCCGCCTCAGCCTCCCAAAGTGCTGGGATTACAGGCATGAGCCACTGCACCTGGCAAGACTGACCTTCTAACAAGCTCATATCCTTATGAAGGACAGGAGATATATATATATATATATCAGAAGGGCATGTCTTCAAGCTGGCCACAACTTGATATTGACCACAACTGCACATTTCATGAAGCCATCTTCTGAGCAGCCATAAAACAACCATATCAAACACTCCTTGGTCTGGAGAGGAAAAGATACTTTTTCTGCTGGCCCCTATCTCCTACTGGAGATATTTGGTGCATGGGGCACAAAGACTCCACTCTTCTGGATTACACATCCATGAACACCAGCCAAGCCACAGGGCCTTTATGTGTCAGGGTAGATTCGTCCATTCTCACACTGCTATAATGAACTACCTGAGACTGGTAATTTATAAAGAAAAAAAGTTTGACTCACAGTTCCCCACGGCTGGGGAGGCCTCAGCAACCTTACAATCATGGCAGAAGGCGAAGGAGAAGCAAGGCACGTCTTACCACAGTGGAGCAGGAAAGCGAGAGAGCGAGTGGGGAGGTGCCACACTTTTTTTTTTTTGAAACGGAGTTTCACTCTTGTTGCCCAGGCTGGAGTGCAATGGTGCCATCTCAGCTCACCGCAACCTCTGCCTCCAGAGTTCAAGCGATTCTCCTGCCTCAGCCTCCCAAGTAGCTGGGATTACAGGCATGCGCCACCAAGCCCAGCTAAGTTTTCAGCTAATTTTTTGTATTTTAAGTAGAGACAGGGTTTCTCTATGTGGGTCAGGCTGGTCTCCAACTCCCGACCTCAGGTGATCCACCCAACTCGGCCTCCCAAAGTGCTGGGATTACAGGTGGGAGCCACCACCTCTGGCCAGTGCCATACTTTTAAACCATCAGGTCTCATGAGCACTCACTCACTATCATGAGAACAGCAAGGGGGAAATCCGCCTCCATGATCCAAGCACCTCCCTCCAGATCCCTCCCCTGACATGGTTACAATTCGACATGAGATTTGGGTGGGGACACAGAGCCACACCATATCACAGGGTCAACAGGGAAGCCTCATGACCAGTGGTGAATGGTGTGGCCTTGAGGTGAGACACTGTTGGGCTGGGCTCAGGTGAAGTTTGTTGGTTTTGTTGGCTTGTTGGCACCTACATGGAGTTGTCAAGGGAGAGAAGGAGGGACTGAAACGAGCGGCCTTTGGAGAGGCCAAAGAGTACCTGCAGGTTCCTGAGAGGGGTCTGGTTCAAGGGTGCAAGGGCAGTCCTGCATCTTATTACAAGCAGCTGTCCCCTTAGTTACCAGTTAGCTCTTCACAGGTGCCTGCCTGCTGGCAAACCACCGAAAGCAGGAGCCAGATGGAACCCGGCCGTGGGTGGAGATGCTAGGAGGCAGTGGGGGCTTCAGGCGAGCTCACTTCCCCACCGTCTGGCCTGGGTTGAGATGTGGCTGTGCTGCGACCCACCGGAAAGCCCGCTGGGACCTGCTCATCCTTAACTGGGAGGCAGACCCCCAGAGGGCCTCAGGGAGCAAATAGAATCCCAAATAAAGGCAAGGCATTAAAGCACTCCTGAGGACCCAGCACTAATGGCCGACCCAAGGTGGGGAAGATCAATAGCTATTTAGAAAGGTCTTCAAGGAAGAAGTGAGTTTAGATTTCTTTAAAAAAGGAGGAATTACAAATACTTGCTCTCCATGAGGATGAAAGGCTGAGGCAGAACTTCCCCCTAGATTAATAGTGTTTCTATAACCTTTGGATGGACACGTGCCAAGGAAGAGGGTCTGTAAGTAGAAATTAATGACTAGATTGAGAGATCCCAAATTCCAAAAGAGAAAATACACTGTTTTCTAAAACAGATTAGTACCTTCCTTCCCAAAGCACTCAGGAAATGAAAAAGGCTTTTAAAGCTTTAGAGGACAAATTTGAAATGCAACATACTTTTAGCTTGGCAGTGAAAGTAAAAACAACGCGGGATTCCATTTGAGTGGTACAGGTACCATGTTTATCCAGCACTTTTCTCCAGGAGTTCTGAGCTCTGCTGGATGTAAACACTTTCTGCTTTCCCCCAAGGGAAAATGTGGTCAGCACTATTGGCCCAGTTTGGCAGCCAAGGAAGCAAAAGGCAAATGATGGGGAACGATTTGTCCAGAAGAACACAGGGACAGTGTTAGACGTAACTTCTCTCCACTGTCTGTCTTCTTGGCGAAGTTGCAGTTTCAGAATAGAAATTACTGTAAAAACCCTGGATGGGCTGAGCATGGTGGCTCACGCCTGTAATCCCAGCACTTTGGGAGGCTGAGTGGGGCAGATCACCTGAGGTCAGGGGTTCAAGACCAGCCTGGCCAACATGGCAAAACCCCATCTCTACTACAAACACAAAAATCAGCCAGGCGTGGTGGTGGGCGCCTGTAATCCCAGCTACTTGAGAGGCTGAGGCAGGACAATTACTTGAACCCAGGAGGCAGAGGTTGCAGTGAGCAGAGATCATGCCACTGTACTCCAGCCTGGGCGACAGAGTGAGATTCTGTCAAAACAAAACAAAACAAAACAAAACAAAACAAAAAAACCCTGGGTTAAGCACCACTCACTGGAAAGGGGGAAGAAGAGTGGCACCGTAGCTCATTCCTTCAGGGCCTGGAAATATGTTTTTTTTTTCACTTGCTTTGCCCCCTCACCCTGCGGGACCAAAGCTGAGCACCCCTCTGTGGCTGACAGGCCAGCACTCTACTCATCCAGCAAGGGCTCCCCTGGGCCTCCGATCAGTACCTTTGTTCAGAATCAGGGTGTTGGCCTTTGCCCCAATGACCTGTGTGGCTTGTGTCATGACCTAGTGATACTTCAGTTCAATTCCCCTTTGTTGAAAGCCTTCCATGTGCTAAGTCCTGAGGCTACACTTGGCAGAGGCAGAAGAGAACCATCTGGTGCTGACTTCAGTGACTGTGGCCCTGTGGGTCCCATGGCTCTATGTTATTTGTGGCTTGGGCACAGGGCAGTCAGCATAGTGTGGAGGAGAGATGTCCTAGCTTTGGTTCGAACCCCAGCTCTGCCACTCACAGACTCTGGTGTTGAGGTTGAAGAAGCAAGTTGCTGAGCCTTGCTGAATTTGGGCCTCCTGACCTGTAAAATGAAGGTAAAGGTCTCAGCCTCATGGTGGCAGGGACGAGGGTTGAATTGTATCATACATGTGAATGCCTGGCACATAGAAGGCACACCATAGTTCTGATCATTGTCGTGATTGATTTAGTTCTGAGTCTCTGCATGATCCTTGTGCATTAGACTAAAAGCTATGCTTCCCTTGGTTCTGTTTGTCACTCTGGCCTAGGCTTGTAGCTGGCAGGGAGGGCCACAGGTGGAAAATTCCAGGCATTCTGGAGCATGCCTCAAAGCACACCCACTGTTCCCACAGGAAAATCAGGAAGCTTCCAGACTGCAGGGCCCAGGCCTCCCATGTGCAGGGTGGGGTGAGGTGGTGTTTGAGCACATTTGTTTTGCTTTGTGGATTTCTTTGGAAATCGGAAAGGGCAGAGGCTATTGCTAAGGAGACAATGTTTTCTATCTCTGTCCTCCCCATCTGATGTTGTCTATTAGATTTGGGGCTGGGGGAAAGGGATCAGGTCTCCAGAAACTCTAGGTTGGCTTCCTGATTTCATAACTAGCTAGGATAAATTCCTTTAGAAAAAAAAAAATTATCAGGGGGAGGAGAACCCACGGGGTTTGTGGAAAAGCTTCATGGTCCTCTCCGCCCTATCCCCATTGCTTCCCACTGCTTCAGCAGCTGCTGTTCAGATGCCAGCACAGCTGACCTTGACCTTGACAGATAAGCCCCACCGCCTTCCCATGGGGCCGCTTTGACGGGAGGGTGCTGCATTGCGCTGTTTGTGCCCATGCATGGGCCACACACAGCCCCACGGGTGGGCAAAACACATGTGACCGGGGCATGCAATTTGTGCAAGAGAAGGGTCTGAGTGAGTTGTCTTTGACTGGTCTAGTGGATGATATCCATGGGCATTTTGTTTCATCAGAGGTTACACAGATACTCTCTTCCTCATATAGGCTGAATTGTGTCCACCCAAATTCATAAGCTAAAGCCCTAATCCCCAGTACTTAAGAATGTGACTCTATTTGGAGCTAGGGGTGTGAAGGAGCTGATTAAGTTAAAACGAGGCTGTTAGGGTGGGCCCTAATCCAATCTGACTGCTGTCCTTATAATAAGAGGAAATTCGGACACACAAAGAAACAGCAGGGGTGCACACACACCAAGGACAGGCCATGTGACGACCCTCGAGAAGGTGGCCGTCTGCAAGCCAAGTAGAGAGGCCTCAGAAGAAACCAAACCCGCCAACATCCTGATCTCAGACTTCTAGCCTTCAGAACTGTGAGAAAATAAATTTATGTTGTTTCAGCCATGCAATTTGTGGCACTTTGTTTTGGCAGCCTCAGCGAACTAATACACTTTCCATTTATGTACAAGTTTTGTTGTTGTTTTTTAAAAAAATTGGGAGTCCTTTTCTTGAGTTCGAGAGATATATTCGAAGGGGGCTTGTTTTATTGAGTAAGGTTTATTGCAAACCACCCCATGAAGCTCTTGGCCAATTTAGAAAAAGATACAAATAAAGCCCATGCCCGCTAATGTTGGTATCTTTGCACTGCAGGTCCTAAACTGTAGAGATAATCAGAGAAGATGGATCTATTTGTACTGACACGAAAGGTTGTGCATTTATGAGATTTGTCCTGCCAAGCAGTGCCAGGAAAAATGAGTGATTATGATAGCAAGTTATTCGTCTTAAAAATTGATTTATAAACATCATTAGAGAACTTGACATTTGTCTCACTGAAGAGATTTTTTTTTTATTTAATAAGAAATATGTTTCTGCCAGTTGTGATTCTAGTTAACCTAATACAATGTGTTCTGGGCTTTACTTTTTCCTTCAGTTGTTGATAATTCGATAAACCTTTATTGCAGCTGCACTTCTTTCTGAAGCTAGAAGATTCTAGAATTTCTGACAATAACTTTCTTTGGAAGAGCACTCTTAAAGAAGACTCATAACAGCCCTGTGAGGCGGTACATATATCATTACTAACAACTAGCACTTGTATAGTACTGTATCTTTCACAGAGCGCATTTATACACACCATTTCATTTCATTGCCCAAGAGGGTAAATGCAAAGAAATTAAATGAATCAGTCAGATACACAGCAATTTTTCATGCTGAGCTTGGATTACAATGCAAGCTAGAGCTTTTTCCACAACACCATCATTTTTCTTCACAAACAGAGGTTTTTAAAAATAGTTAAAATGGTGAATTTTATTTTTAGATAATTTTTAATTGATACATAATAGTTGTACATATTTATGAGGTACCTGTGATATTTTGATACATGCATGCAATGTGTAATGATCAAATCAGGGTAAGTGGGATAGCCATCACCTCAACCATTTATCATTTCCTTGTGTTAGGAACATTCCAATTCTTCTGGCTATTTTGGAATGTGTAATAAGTTATTGTTAGTCACCTACTATGCTACTGAACTATAGAGCCTATTCCTTCTACCTAGCTGCATGTTTGCACCCATTAACCAACATCTCTTCATCCAGGCTTAGAGTTTCCGTTGTTCCACAGTTACCCAGCGGGAGGGACAGAGTGGGAGACAAATGGGTCTTAATGAAGGGGTGCCATTTGTCAGCAATGGTTCAACTGCAACCCTGAAACTGAATCACACCCCATAGTAATCCTAGAAACTCTTCGTGTGTGATTGCAAAGTCCAAAAAACTATCATTTTGTAGGAGTCAACTATGCAAATAAATATCTCGACTTCTTATCTTTCTAAGTAATCTGTTGTAATTCAGTATCAGAGCTGTCAGAAAACTGATTAAGTTTGACTTCTCTTTGCCCCTAAATGAAGGGGTTAATTGCCAGGTTGAAGCCTAGGGACAGAAGGAAGAGGCAACAGAGGAATCACAGGCAGGTTGTCAGTCGCTCTGGGAAGGCACAGTCATGAGCCATCGGTGGCTGCTGCTGCTGCTGTTTGCATTGGCAGGCTCAGTGTTCGTTTCCACCCAGGACTTTGTCTAAGGACACGCTGTCTCTGCTCCCCTGTTCTCACCTTCATCCAGAGCAACCCTGGGTTGCCAGACTTGTCCTTGCCCTGTGTCTTGTTGCTTCACTGCCTCTTCTCTAGCACACTTCAAGAGAAGGGAGCCAGCTGGAGAGGAAAGCTCAGCCTGGCTTTGAGTCATGGCCAGAATGGATTGAGTCCCAGAGGGACTTGTTTGTATGTTGGGTTAATGATCTCCACTGGTCTAAAGGTCCCATAACTTATTGCTACTCATCCTTCCAGGCCCTGTTCAGATGCCACCTCTTCCGTGAGGACTCCTCCTGATGCAACATAAAACTGATCTCTCCTTCATCTGTAGCCCCAGAGCAGTTTCTTGGGTCCTTCCTCAGAGCACTCCTCCCCACTAGCTTATATTTCGGTTATCTCTGTACCTATTTTATCATCCCAGTAGACTGAGAGGAGGGCTTATTCAGTGCAGCCAACCCCAATGCCCAACCAAAAATGCTCAGTGGTGAGAGTGTGAAACTAAATGGAACTCACATGCCCCAAAACGTCAGGTTCAGAGGTACTCCTTAGCCAAACAGGAGTGCGCTGCTTCCTTGAGTGCAAGGGAATGTCAATGTTTCATCCACAAGAGTTGGATGCATTTTTCCCGATGGGAGGTGCCTAATTCAAGCCAGCTGCCCCTAAACTAATGCCATCTTCCTCCTCCTACTCCCCAGCTGCATCTTTATTTTCTTAATCCTTTTTTCCCTCTTGGGTAGGTTTCAGTGGCTCTAATCACCCATCCTACCTCCTACACCCTCCGCCCCTTCTCAGCCTTGGTCCACAAACCCTGGAGTAAACTCCAAAAACAAAGTGGCCTTCACAGTGCTGACTCATTGACTTCCAAATTCCCGCCGGGGCCCTTGAGGGGCTTGCCGAGCCGTCAGGAGCAGCAAAAACTTGGGTAGACTGAGACCTGTTAATAGAGTCTGCTGCTCTGTGAATATCTTAGAAACGTGCTACTGAAAGGACACTCTTTAACAAATTTTTCGGTTAGGGGCCAGGCACGATGGCTCACACCTGTGATTCCAGGACTTTGGGAGGCCGAGGCGGGTGGATCACCTGAGGTCAGGAATTCCAGACCAGCCTGGGCAACATAGTGAAAACCCATGTCTACTAAAAATACAAAAGTTAGCCAGGCGTGGTGATGGGCACCTGTAATCCCAGTTACTTGGGAGGCTGAGGCAGGAGAATCGCTGGAACCCGGGAGGTGGAGGCTGCAGTGAGCCGAGATCACACCACTGCACTGCAGCCTGGGCGACACAGCAAGACTCCATGTCAAAAAACAAAAAAAAATCAGTTCATAATTTTTAAGGATGGTGGAAGAGAACTCACAATAATCCATTTCAGCTGCTAAATATCGTTTATCCATGTAGATATTTGCCATAACTGATTTCTCCGTAATCCTTGGGCTCTCTAAAGGTGTTAGATAAACAGTGATGCTGGAACATACTGTAAATCTGAACACCGCCACTCCCAGGACCCCGTTCCCCACCCAGATCCAATCCCCCGAGTCCTTCTCTCTCTCACTCACACTCTAAGCTCTCAATAGCTTCTTTGTTTTGTGGAAGGTTTCCTTACAACTGCAGGTTGGCTGCTACATTCTTGACGCATAGGCAGACAGCAGGCTGTGCACAATTCTTCCTGGGCAATTCACTCGGAGCAAAGAGTGATCTTTTTTGAAGCTTGAGAATATCAATATGTGGCTGCTTTGCTAAAGTGCTTTCTGTCTCTCACAGTCAGAGAAATCTGCTTGCCTTGAGCTGGCCTTGAGTTTCTTGTTAAGAGCTAATTTTAGAGCTAATTTGGGTTCCATTAGTATATGGTTCTGTTGCAAATCTGACATTAACATCGGCAGCTTGATGAGTCACCGAGGGAGGAAAAGCCTTTTACCCTAACTGCAGCAATGCAGGCACATATGGTGTCATTTTGCAAGGAACAGATTTTTGTCTTTCATGCCATTTCAGAGCTGTTTCCCTCTGAAATTACCAGCTCTGATTTAATGCGGAACATGCCTGGGTGTCACTGCAGAGATCTAGTTAAACTGAGAGAGCTGGCAGGTCCCACAAGTCTGCAAAAACCGTGTTCATTTGCACAGTGTAATTCCTCCCAAATCCATGCCCACAGGCTGGGAATCAGCCACCAGCAAGTGCGGGGGCCTGCTCTTGGGGGTCTCCAAGCCTCTTCTGAGTCAGTGCTACCCAGAATCCCAGTCTTGGGTGGATGAGGAGGGACAGAGCCTTCCTTCCCTCTCTGCCTCTGCCCTTAAAATGAGCAGGATTTAATGATTCTGTTCCTGAGGCTGGGACTCTGCTTCCACAGACTCTTGTAAGGGGAGGTTAGGGCATTTCCCATTTCACCCCATGACCAGCTGCCCACGTGCTTGGGGCCAGATGGCTTTAACTGAGATCCGTGATTCCAACTGTGGCTGTGGCAGCGAGGACAGGAGACCTGCTTGCTAATCTGAACTGGTCACTGGCTGGATGACCCTGTTTCCTGAGCCTCCATTTTCTCACCTGTGAAAAGAGAGAATTCTGAGAGTCTCTAATATCTCAGCTTAATAGCCCATAATAGTAACTTGCATTTATCTAACTTTTTACATTTTTCTGAGAACTTTAATTTTTGTTCTGTCCTGTGATCATGATAACATCCTGTGAGGCAGGCACTCCTGTCTTTCACTTGGGAAATTCTGACTCAGAGAGGTGAGGAAACTTGCCCAAGCTCACACAGCTGGTAAGAGGCAGAGATAGACTAGAACCTCGCTGGCCTCACTCCCAGTTCAAGGCTCTTAGAATCAACAGATGGTATCAGAAACTAGCTTTGAACACTGCATTCCGTGACCAGGGGTCATCTTGGAGAGCAGACAGCCATGCCCCACAGGCCTCCAAATGTTCAAACTTTTCCAAGGTGAAAAGATTGCACAATGACCTGGGAAATTATATTCTTTCTTTGGGTCATGCAATATCATGAATGAGCACCCCAGAAGAGGCTGAAAGATAGTAGGAAAAGTACGAGAACTGGTTCCAGTTTTGGCTCTGTCTCAAGTTGCTGTGTGACCTTGAACAAGTCACTTGGCCTCTCTGAGCCTTAGTTCCTAAAAGAGGCAAGTGGACAAGCTATTCTCCAAAGTAAGTTCCCTCTGGAGAGGTCTATGGTTCTATGGCAACAGGTTCAATGCCAGAACGAAATAACACAGCAGCAAGTGTAACACCTTTGTTCCGAGAGCAGCCTCCATGCCCGAGATTCAAATTCTGAGAAAGGAAAATACTCCAGGAAGTTAAAAAGTGAAGTCGACCTAAACAGCAACCAAAGCAAGTTACTCCTGTAAGTGACCAGGCAAATCCTAAAACAAGGGTCACAAACTGAAATCCTGCAGGAGCCAGGCGGGGACTGAAGCAAACTGGCAAACACTGCCTGACTTCAAAAGGGACAGTGACCACTCACCTCCAGCCACATGTTGTTGGGCAGGAATGTAGATACAGTGTCAACAATCTTCCAACTTTTCAAGAGAATTGTGAATCTGAATATTCATGTGAAATATCCTAATTTTTAAACATTGGAAACAAACCCAAAGACTTAAAAACCCTTTCATGCCAAACAGAATGTGTCTGCTAGCCATATGCTGCCCAAGTGTGCTAACATCTTCCCGGGTAGTTTGTGTCTGTCTTCGCCTTAAACAATTTCAGGGAGCCTGTTTCCTGGCCTTCCTTGGGAGCACGCTGCAGTGGTGACCTTCCTGAACCCTCACAAGTCAACAATACTTGACATCACGCAAATCCCATTTTCCTGTCTGTGGCCTTTGAGGCTGGACCCCTGACAGGGGCCAGCATGCACACCCGGTTCCCGCTCTGCCTGCCTGAAAATAACCTTCTCCAGAGAGACAAACAACAGTGGGAGGGGAAAAGGACGATTTGGCCTTGCTAGTACGGTAAAACAGATGAGGTTATTTTTTCTGCCATCATGTCTACTTTATTGGATCACATAACTATTTTTATTGTTAATTTAGGTACAAATTAATTGCTATACAAATGAACAGAAACGCAGATGAGTCCCTCACCATGACTCGAACCTCAAACAGCAATTACGTGGCTTTGTAATCTAACAGAGCAGATATCAGTCAGCTGCGGTGTCTTCGCAGGCCCAATCCATGCTAATGGGAAGAGGGATGTCCCTGGAGATTCCTTAACAACCTGAGCAAACCTGGGGTAGGTGTTTCACAGATTCCAGGGCCCCGTGTCTGCCTCGCTTCCTCTTTCCAAGCACGATTGAATAAAGGTATTAGACAATTTGACAGTATTCTCATGGACTGTCTTTTTCTCCCCCGAAGGATTTTTTTTTTTTTACCACACTCTTGTGATTCTGTACTTATTTTTTCTCTTCAGAGCCACATGTAAGACATCAGACCTAGAAGGCACTTTAGAGGGACCCCTGTCTTTCTGCCACCAGGCAGCATCCCCAGTCCCCCAGCCTGGGTGTGAGAGCCCTCCCAGGTGCTCCCAACTACTGGCTCCTTTAGGGTTCCTGGGCTGGAACTGTCTAGTTATTTGCCTGAGTCTTCCCCAAATGGACTATAAACATCTCAAAAGCAGGGACAACATCTTACCCACCTTATTGCCCTCTGCTCAGGGCATGGTGTAGTGGTGCAAGGGTAGTGGTGTAAGCAGCAATGCTCAGAAACTAAAGAAAAAAGCTGGCCGTGCCGGGCGTGGTGGCTCACACCTGTAATCCCAGCACTTTGGGAGGCCAAGGGGGGTGGATTACAAGGTCAGGAGTTTGAGACCAGCCTGGTCAATATGGTGAAACCCGGTCTCTACTAAAAATATAAAAAATTAGCCCGGTGTGGTGGCTCATACCTGTAATCCCAGCTGCTCAGGAGGCTGAGGCAAGAGAATGGCTTGAACCCAGGAGGTGGAGGTTGCAGTGAGCCAAGATCACACCACTGCACTCCAGCCTGGGCGACAGAGTGAGACTCCATCTCAAAAAAAAAAAAAAGAAAAGAAAAGAAAAGAAAAAGAAAAGAAAAGAAAAAATCTGGCCAAGCCCCTCACTTTATCTGTGCTGGTAGCACCCCGGTGAATCCTCCCACAGATACCACACAAGTAATTTCCTTCTTTGAGCTGCAGACTTTTATAATTTCCTGCCTAATTTTGTCATCTTCCGTGTAATAGTAAAAGCCAAAATATCCATCTAGAAATATTTCTTAGTTTCCATTTGCCAAATCAATTCCATCTCTCTTAGAAATAAAATGTAGTTACTTTTTGATCAAATGAAAAGATATTATGTAACTAATGAAATTGTACTGTATAAAAAAGTTCTCTTTAAGAAAGAAAGAAAGTTCCTTAATGAACAGCAGTCAATTCTAGACTCTAGATTAAATCAAACAAATATTTTTTCCCTGCCCTTGGATCAGTTGTACTGGAAACTGTTTTGAAGCTTCTATGATAAGATTTTAGATTCTCATCACAAAAAACTGAAGGTATTGTATTACTAGTTTTCTCTAAACTTTATAGCCATTCGAGAGCCTGTTGTAATTCAGAGAATTTTTGACTCACTTGCAGGAAATTTTCTTAGTCTACATATTTTACATTCCAATATAAAAGTCCTTAACTTTTTATCAGAAGTGGTTTAAAGCATCAAAGGTAAGCTAGTCATAATGACTTTCTTGTTTTTCTTGATTTCCTTATAGAGGTTAGCTACATGGGCGTATTCAATGGGCTTTTTCTGTTTTCAAGCCTATAATCTGCACAGAGCCTAGTACAGTGCCTTATATGCAATCAATGCTTGTTGAATCAACACATGAATGAACGAATAGATGTCTCTTGAAAAAAGAGAAAACATTGTTCTACAGAGTTCTCCCTCTGATGACGCTGATAGAACCCACAGATTTAGACTAATAGAATGTCAAAGGGAAAATTACCCAGAAATATATAATCTGGTTCTTTAGACTAATAGAATGTCAAAGGTAAAATTACCCAGAAATACATAATCTGGTTCAGTGTTTTTTTACTTTTCAGATTTAGAGACTGAGGTTCAGAGAACCCCCAGATCACCTGAAATCCTCATTGGGAATTTCAGGAAATTGTACCAAATATGAACCCAAAGGTAAACACGGGTTTCCATGGCAACCGAACGTGGGCTTGTTCATTGCTTTCTGTCGCCTTTACCTTCGTGAAATTCTCATGAACTAACTGGGATTCAGAAGGACGTAAAATGACTAGTTCCTGAAAGCTCTTAAATACTTCCTGGCTCTCTTCATCCACTAGTTGCTGTGGAGTAGAGTTTGGTATTTGGTGGCTCCGAGACCCCCCAAGGGCTCCATTACTAATTCGGGGGAGTGGAAAGAGCTCTGGGTCCCACGTCAGAGTTTGGGGACCTGGCTCCAGCTGTGCTGGCCATAGACCCTGAGACAAATCAGCTGCCCAAGTCCCATCCTCATCCCTAAATAGAAGTGGTAGCCTCTGTTCTGCCTTCCTTAATGTTTTGGAAACGGTAAAGCACACCAATACAAGGAGTTAAGATTGTCCCTGGGGTAGAGCAAGCAGACACATGCCATGGGGGGTGGGGGCGGCAACCCCGGGGTGCTGGGCTTCCCTGCTCGAGAACTAGGAAATATGAAAGTTAACCTTCTGAGAGTCAAACCAGTGGTTCCCAACTTTTTCCAGTGTAAATCCTCCTTTTTTCTTTTTCTTTCTTTCTTTTTCTTTTTTCTTTTTTTGAGACAGGGTCTCATTCTGTCGCCCAGACTGGAGTGCAGTGGTGTGATCTCAGTTCACTGCAACGTCCGTCTCCTGGGCTCAAGCCATCCTTTCACCTCAGCCTCCCGAGTAGCTGGGATTGCAAGCGGCCGCCACCATGCCTGGATAATTTTTGTATTTTTTGTAGAAATGGGGTTTCACCATGTTGCCCAGGCTGGTCTTGATCTCTTGAGCTCAAGTGAGCCTCACACCTCGTTCTCCCAAAGTGCTGGGATTACAGGCGTGAGCCACTGCACCTGGCCTAAATCCTGCTTTTATCCTCAAAATATTTTCCAGACCCATTTCCACATGATCATATTTATACTTTTAGTGTTTGTGACCAAGAAATACATATTGACAACAAACTATTAGGAATTATGACTACTCTTTAAATTGCCACATCATATGAATATTTTTGACAAACAGTGGTACCAGATTAGCATGTACTATGTTTGCTTACAGATACTCTAGACACTCATGGATTAGGTGGCTTCTCAAAATCACTCCCTCTGCTCTCAGATCAGGGAATTCCTGTATTAAACTATAAAATATAAACATAATAAATGGATAAGAGCCAAGCAATGCAATCATTTTAGGTGGGCTCTGACTCCAGGTGGAAGTCAGGCAAACATTAACACATCCAAAGCAAGAAGACTGGTCACAAGAACCTTGGTTACCAGCAGAAACTTAGAAGAGGTAGTACCACCCAGGTGAGCACTGGCAGTGCCCTCCCAGTAGAGCCCAAGTCCTGGTAGACCTGGGTTCATCAGGCGGCATGTGACTCATGTAACTAACTCCTTACGCTCTACTCTCGGCTCCGCTGAGCATCCCTGTTGCCAGCATAGAGCAGCCAGACATCTGAAGGTTGTATTTCATTGCAGATGGATGTCCTGGCTTTAGATCCTAGAACCATCCTAAGAAGACGAGTAAGGTGACATTTTTTTGAGTTAAAAAAAATACCCAGGTGGTGGATGACAGGGTAGGTTTCTGAGTGTGGCCCTGAGGCCTCTGAGTAGCCCTGGAGCAACCGCCCTACTGGTCTCCACTGGGGTTCACCTTTTGGAGTTACCATGAACCATGGTTTCTCAACCTTAGCACTCTAGACATTTTGGTCATATAATTTTGTTGTGAAGGGCTGTTTTGTGCATTACAGGATATTGAGCAGAATCCCTTGGCCGCTATCGACTAGATGCCAGTAGCATCCCACTCCCCATCCCAATTATATCAATCAAAAAGGTCTCCATACGTTGCCACATGCTCCCGGGACGAAGGGGAATGACCCCGCCCCAGTTGAGAACCACCATCATGACCCATCCCCATCAAATATCTACAGGATGCGGCCTCATGAGGTTCCTCTCAAAGACCAAACCATTTCTGGATGCTCAATACATTAAATTTATACACAGTGTCACCTTTGTCCGAAAGATGTTAGAATTCTTGAAAAATCTATTTCAAGGAGCTTGTAGTTAATTTAGGAATACGACCAGGCTCCACTTCACTATAATGCAAAGGAAATAGGGATTCTGGCAACTGAGTGAAGAGAAACTTTTTTCGATGACCTAGCGATTCAAGGGTCATCCTTCTGAACATCCATTGTTCTTTCATAAACGTGTAATGGGGTTGGACTGCACCGGCCATGTGTGGACTCCAGGGGAGTCCCTGGAAGCTGCTGGTATTTTGTTGTTTTAAAAAATAAATCCTTGATTTGTTTTTGATTTCTTATTAAGGTCTTCTTCCTAAAAATAGTACAAAAAAATTCCAGTCACCTGAGAAACTAAATTATTTTGTGCTCATGAATTGAGGGTTTTTATTTTTTGGCTGAAATTGTTCCAGCATTTTCTTTTTGAGGTAAAATAGACATCTAAAATTTACCATGTTTACTATTTTTAAGGGTACTGTTCAGTGGTAATACATTTACATTCTTTTTGTCCCCTTCATCCTCCCCCTCCCTCTACTCTTCCCTGCCGCTGGTAACCACCATTCTCTTTTCTACCTTCATGAGATCTGCTTTTGGAGCTCCCACAGTTCTACTGTTTTCTAAAGGATTCTGCCATTGGAAACTGCTTGGTTTGAGGAGAGCACTCCCACCACAGTCAGGCCTCTCAGGAGAGTGGCGTCCATCACGGCTCCAATTATATAGAGACATGAACACCTGGTTCTGCTCCGGGTGAGGTTTTTCCTCCTGACCGCACCCCTCCTGACCACACACCTCCTGACCACACCCGTCCTCACTGCATCCCTACTAACCGCATTCCCTCCCGACCGCATCCCTACTAACCGCATCCCCTCCCGACCACATCCCTACTAACCGCATCCCCTCCTGACCACATCCCTACTAACTGCATCCCTCCCGACCACATCCCTACTAACCGCATCCCCTCCTGACCACATCCCTACTAACTGCATCCCTCCCGACCACATCCCTACTAACTGAATCCCTCCCGACCACATCCCTACTAACTGCATCCCTCCCGACCACATCCCTACTAACTGAATCCCCTCCCGACCACATCCCTACTAACTGCATCCCTCCCGACCACATCCCTACTAACTGCATCCCCTCCTGACCGCATCCCCTCCCGACCACATCCCTACTAACCGCATCCCTCCCGACCACATCCCTACTAACTGAATCCCCTCCCGACCACATCCCTACAATCCTTACCCCTCCCGACCACATCCCTACTAACTGCATCCCCTCCCGACCGCATCCCTACTAACTGCATCCCCTCCTGACCGCATCCCTACTAACCGCATCCCCTCCTGACCGCATCCCTACTAACCGCATCCCCTCCCGACCACATCCCTACTAACCGCATCCCTCCCGACCACATCCCTACTAACTGCATCCCTCCCGACCACATCCCTACTAACTGAATCCCCTCCCGACCACATCCCTACTAACTGCATCCCTCCCGACCACATCCCTACTAACTGCATCCCCTCCTGACCGCATCCCCTCCCGACCACATCCCTACTAACCGCATCCCTCCCGACCACATCCCTACTAACTGCATCCCCTCCCGACCACTTCCCTACTAACCGCATCCCCTCCCGACCACATCCCTACTAACCGCATCCCTCCCGACCACATCCCTACTAACTGCATCCCCTCCTGACCGCATCCCCTCCCGACCACATCCCTACTAACCGCATCCCTCCCGACCACATCCCTACTAACTGCATCCCCTCCCGACCACATCCCTACTAACCGCATCCCTCCCGACCACATCCCTACTAACCGCATCCCTCCCGACCACATCCCTACTAACTGAATCCCCTCCCGACCACATCCCTACTAACCGCATCCCCTCCCGACCACATCCCTACTAACTGCATCCCCTCCCGACCGCATCCCTACTAACTGCATCCCCTCCTGACCGCATCCCTACTAACCGCATCCCCTCCTGACCGCATCCCTACTAACCGCATCCCCTCCTGACCGCATCCCTATTAACTGCATCCCCTCCTGATCACGTCCCTCGTGACCACATCCCTACTAACCGCATCCCTACTAACTGCATCCCTCCCGACCACATCCCTACTAACTGCATCCCCTCCTGACCGCATCCCCTCCTGACCACATCCCTACTAACTGCATCCCCTAGAAAAACCCTACTAACTGCTTCCCCTCCCGACCACAGGGCCAAAAAAAAAGGATCCCTCCCGACCACATCCCTACTAACTGAATCCCCTCCCGACCACATCCCTACTAACTGCATCCCTCCCGACCACATCCCTACTAACTGCATCCCCTCCTGACCGCATCCCCTCCCGACCACATCCCTACTAACCGCATCCCTCCCGACCACATCCCTACTAACTGCATCCCCTCCCGACCACATCCCTACTAACCGCATCCCTCCCGACCACATCCCTACTAACTGCATCCCCTCCTGACCGCATCCCCTCCCGACCACATCCCTACTAACCGCATCCCTCCCGACCACATCCCTACTAACTGCATCCCCTCCCGACCACATCCCTACTAACCGCATCCCTCCCGACCACATCCCTACTAACCGCATCCCTCCCGACCACATCCCTACTAACTGAATCCCCTCCCGACCACATCCCTACTAACCGCATCCCCTCCCGACCACATCCCTACTAACTGCATCCCCTCCCGACCGCATCCCTACTAACTGCATCCCCTCCTGACCGCATCCCTACTAACCGCATCCCCTCCTGACCGCATCCCTACTAACCGCATCCCCTCCTGACCGCATCCCTATTAACTGCATCCCCTCCTGATCACGTCCCTCGTGACCACATCCCTACTAACCGCATCCCTACTAACTGCATCCCTCCCGACCACATCCCTACTAACTGCATCCCCTCCTGACCGCATCCCCTCCTGACCACATCCCTACTAACTGCATCCCTCCCGACTGCATCCCCACTAACTACATCCCCTCCTGACCACATCCCTCCTGACCGCACCCCTCCTGACCCCAATCCCTACTCACAGCCTCCAAGGCTACCAGGTGCTGTTCACATGTGGCCAGCACTGTTGGTGGAAGGCGCCACACCCAGTAATCCAGGTGTCGTCCTCCCGTCCAGGTCCAGCGGCCTCTTCCTGCTTCTGCAAGCCTAGTTTTTTCTAGTCTTTGGGAGAGGAAAGTCTCGTTTTGCAAGCACACTGCCTGGCCTTTGTGTCTAGCCCTGGCTCTGTGGGTTCTGTGAGTGTTTGTTTCTGACCAGTCTGGACTGGGGTGCCCTTCGGTGCCAGCAAGAGAGCAGCGTGCAAGGGAAATACACAGATCAACCCTTGGAGCTGTAATCTTGTCTGAATCCTCTCTGTTGTCTTGCCTACTATGTGAGATAGAAATGAAGATGGAAAAGGGTAACCCTCAGGGCAGCCCTGCACAGAAACCCCTTCCCAGAGGGCCACGGCTGAGGCACCACTCCCAGGACAGCTGGGCCTTGAGCTCCATTTGGTCTTTTCTTCCTGGGGAAAAAAGGCCCTGTGTGGCTGTTTGTCCATAATGTTAAAGAGAGCCTCTTGGGGGCCCTGGATGTAAAGGTAGAGGTTCTGAGTTTAGGACCCTGCAAATTGCCCCAATGGGAAGCCTGCTAGGAAGAAGAGTGGTTACCAGAGCCCAAATGCAGGCAGGCCAACCCCCTTCAAGGGACCCCCCCCAATGAGAAAAGGGGAACCCATCACAATGGCAGCCGTTCTCCACCTCACCAAGGCCTCTGAGGACAAGCAGGAGAGGAGGGGAGCCTGGTCTAACTGTGAGGAAAGAGCAAAGTACAAATGCTTGCCTTCAACGTGCCATGCTTTCTTTCTCCAGCAGGTGATCTGGGCGCTGGCGCAGTCACCCGGCAGAGAGTGCTGCTCAGCCTTAGGGTGCCCGTGTGCAGGAGAGACAAAGCTTTTGTGCAGAATCTCAGCCTTAGGGTGCCTGTGTGCAGGAGAGACAAAGCTTTTGTGCAGAATGCCCCACCCTCGGCACTTGACAGGGTGAGTGGAGGGCATGTGGTATTTCAGCCTCCACCCAGCTGCTGAACAGACAGGCACACACTGAACAGCCTCACCCGCCACAGCCTTGCTCTCAAGCGTTCTGCTTTCCTGCATCAGCAGAAATAAGGGGACCAATTTATCATACCTGCTGGGTGCCAGGTACTTTATATATTATCTCCTCTTTTTTTTTTTTTTTTTTTTTGAGATGGAGGTTTGCTCTTGTCACCCAGGCTGGAGTGCAATGGCATGATCTCAGCTCACTGCAACCTCCGCCTCCCAGGTTCAAGTGATTCTCCTGCCTCAACCCCCCAGGTAGCTGGGATTACGGGCATGCACCACCACGCCCAGATAATTTTGTATTTTTAGTAGAGACGGGGTTTCTCTATGTTGGTCAGGCTGGTCTCAAACTCCCGACCTCAGGGTTCGACCTCAGGTGATTTGCCTGCCTCGGCCTCCCAAGGTGCTGGGATTACAGGTGTGAGCCACCATGCCTGGCCTATATTATCTCCTTTAATCACCCCAACAACCATGTGAAGTGGGATTTTTATCTCCATTTTACAGATGACGTAACTACGGCTTTGGGATGTTACGCAACGAGTAAGGCCTTGTGAGTCTTCACAGAAAGGGACTGGCCTGGAGGCTCCGAGCGGTCAGCTAGTTCCCGTCACTGTTCTCCCCGGGAAGCTGTGGATGGGCAGTGACCCAGGCAGGGAAAGGGTAAGAATCGCTGCTTGAGGACCCAAGAGGCTTCACCTCCCTCCTCAGACAGGAACCCGGGAAAGGGCTTTGCCCGGGAAGGTCTATGATAGGGATTCTCACAGTGAGACAGGACCAGCATCTCCTGAGACAAACTACTGCTCTTGAATTTGAAAAGAATTCTCAAGTCTGCGTCTCATCTCTAATTCTTTCTACCACTGTGTCTTTTTCCCAGTTGGCATTGGCAGCCATGAAACAGCTTGAGGGGCCAGGCGCGGCGGCTCACGCCTGTAATCCCAGCACTTTGGGAGGCCAAGGTGGGCGGCTCACCTGAGGTTGGGAGTTTGAGACCAGCCTGACCAACATGCAGAAACCCCGTCTCTACTAAAAAAAAAAAAAAAAATACAAATTAGCCAGGTGTGGTAGTGCACGCCTGTAATCCCAGCTACTCGGGAGGCTGAGGCAGGAGAATCACTTGAACCCAGGGGGCGAAGGTTGCAGTGAGCCAAGATTGCACCACTGCACTCCAGCCTGGACAACAAGACCGAAACTCCATCTCAAACAAAACGAAACGAAACGAAACAAAACAAAACAAAACAAAAACAGCTTGAGGACCAGATAGGGCATCAAAAGCGGAGAAAGCTGGGGAACTCTGTGTCCTCTGAATCCAGTTCAGATGGAAAGGAAGCCCCAGAGGGAGGACAGGTGGGGGCAGCTGGAAAGACAAGACCAGGCTCCCCTTCTTGGGTGTGGAGGGAGACAGTGGTCGGGACCCCCAGAGAGGGCAGAGCACCGGGCTGGCCGGTGGGGTGGGGTTCCCCGCAGGAGGCCTGTGCCGCCGGCTGTGTGGCCTGCGGAGGAGCCTGCCGAGCCTGCCGAGCCCCGCATCCGGTGGGAAGTAGGAGTCTGGCACTTCCGGCTCGGGCTGCTGCAGCGGTTCCGGGCATCTGCGCTATTAGAATTCTCCCGGCTCGCGGCGGCCGCAGGAATCCAGTCACGTGGTAGACGTGGTGCCTGGGAGCCGGGGTCAGCGAGCGCTCAGTCTGAGAGAAAACGTGTTCCTTCCCCCTGAGACGTGTCCCGTGCCGGGCGATGGCTCGCGGCAAACCTCCGCTCCCACAGGGAAGGAGCCCTGTGAGGCCTGGCCTGGGAGCTCTCGGGAGCGTGGGTGGTGAGCAGGGACACGGGGACACGGGAAAATCACTTCTGCTGCTGATCAGGATGTTGCCAGCCTACCATTTCTGTCGGAGGCTCCTTACTGATACTTCCGCTTCCCTTAGTTCCTTTTCCTCTCTGCCACGATGCTACATTCTCTGCAAGCAGGCTCCGACCTGGTTCCCGGATAACCTCAGAACTACAGCCTCATGACATCACTTCTCTATTGCCCTGTCCCCTTTGCTAAGAATTGGCGATACATTCAGAGGGCAAAAGCTTGCCTTTGAATTTGCTGAGTAAAAACCAAGGCTTTGTTACCTCTGGGTCTAGGGGATTGAAGAAGGACCCGATTTCCCTCTCCTCCCTCCCTCCCCCTTCCTGCAAGCCTCTCGATGAGAATGTATTTCCTAGTCACCTACGCTCACACCTATTTTGTAAATCTTCTAGATACTCTCCCTCCAGCCCACTCAGCCCCACTCTGCCAGAGGAGATACTGGACCCCAGGTCTTCCCCAATTTCAGCCTCCCCCAACCCAGCTTTTTATTCCTGAGGACCTCCCTCCACACCCAAGAAGCTATTTCCTGAAGGGGTCTCATTCCCTCCTGTTATTTTTCAGTTTGTTCTGTGCTGCTGCTTTTGGTCCTTCCTAACAGAAACCCTCATTCCTGTGGAAGACGTCCTGTCAGGAATAACCCCTTTGCTACGTGGTGGACACTAGCGTCCTGTCAGAAATTCACGCTCTCCTATCAGCAACCTGTTTTCTTGTCAGAAATCATTGTTGTCAGAAATCAGAAATCACTCTTTCTTTCTTTTTCTTTCTTTCTCTCTCTCTCTTTCTTTCTTCTTTTTGAGGTGGCGTCTCACTCTGTCTCCCAGACTGGAGTGCAGTGGCGCGATCTTGGCTCACTGCAAGCTCCGCCTCCCAGATTCAAGCGATTCTCCTGCCTCAGCCTCCGAGTAGCTGGGACTACAGGCACGCACCATCACACCCGGCTAATTTTTGTATTTTTAGTAGACACGGGGTTTCACCATGTCCGCCAGGATGGTCTCGAACTACTGACCTCAAGTGATCCACCCGCCTCAGCCTCCCAAAGTGCTAGGATTACAGGCATGAGCCACTGTGCCTGGCTGAGAAATCACTACTTTGCTTTTAGAAATCACCGTCCTGAGAAAAATCAGTTTCTTTCAGAAATCCTTGTTTTCTTGTCAGAGCTCCATGCATAGCCCACTGGAGGCCAACATTTTCCATCAGACATCCCTGTTTTCCTGTCATAAACCACTACTCTCCTGTCAGAAATCCCTGGTCTCCTGTCAGAAGTCCCTGGTCTCCTGTCAGAAGTCCCTGGTCTCCTGTCAGAAATCCCTGGTCTCCTGTCAGAAGTCCCTGGTCTCCTGTCAGAAATCCCTGGTCTCCTGTCAGAAGTTCCTGGTCTCCTGTCAGAAATCCCTGGTCTCCTGTCAGAAGTCCCTGGTCTCCTGTCAGAAGTCCCTGGTCTCCTGTCAGAAGTTCCTGGTCTCCTGTCAGAAATCCCTGGTCTCCTGTCAGAAATTCCTGGTAGGAGCTTCCAGTCAGAAGTCATTACTTTCCCGTAGGGAATCACTGGTCCTTGCCTGATCCTTCTTTCCCCAGAATATTCAGAGTTGCTCGTCATCCTTTGACTTTGGTAGTTTTCTTGTGACTTTCTTGCTGGGAGAGGAGAAGGGCACTGCCGGCTGTTCACACCTGTTTTGCCACATCTGTGGAAGCTCAGTGCTGGCTCCAGAAGCAGCCTGGGGCACTGGACACAGCACAGGGGGTGTCCACAGCCTCATATGCCCCTCCTGGGTGATGATAGACAAGTCATTTCTGCCTGCTGGACCTTTTCCCCATCTTTTTGTTGGGGGTGATAATATCGCCTACTCTGCCTGCTTCATAGCGTCATTTAATTTAGATCAATGACACTTCTGACTTCCAAAAAGTTGCTACTTTGTTTGAGACAGAAATCTCTTTTCCTGTCATTTTTACTCACTGTTGCTCCATAGGGCAAATCTAATACTTCTTCCATACCACAACCCTTCAACCCTGCCCCTAAATCTCCTCTTACCTGCAAAAAATGCCTCCTGTTCTCTAATGCCCAGATTCAACCAGCTCATTCCTTGTGTTGTGTGACTGGCTTCCAGGTCTGTTGCCAGCCTGCTCCCCCGACTCCACCCCTGGTCCCACCTTGTTTGAGTTTGTCTAGGTCTTTCTTGGAGTGTGCTGTGATCAGCTCAGGGGACAGCAAGAGTGTCACCTCCCTCCTTCTACAGCAGATGGCATGGTCAGGTTGCATGAGCTTTTACACTGCAGATTGAATGTGCCATTTACCATGTAGAATCTTCCCAGGCAGAAGCTCCATTTATTCGTTTTTATTTTTCTATTAGAGGTTTGTAATTTTCTTTGAATGCATTCTTCATGTCCTTTTACGTGAATTGCAAAATACTTAATGATTTGGATTCTTCAGGGAATGAGCTCTCTCTATTGCATTTCCTTCTAGTCTTCATCACTGGACTCTAGAAACGGTGTATTGATTTAATTTTTTTCTTATAATCTGAAACGTTGCTGAACTGATTTGCCATTTCTAAGTAGTTTTCCTGGAACACTCTGTACTGTCTTGGGGTGCTTACCCATTCTGTCTTGTGATGGAGACAGCTTTATGGCAGGCTGTGTCACGTGCTCTGCCATTTTCTCCTTGGAACCACTCCAAATGGGTGCCAACGCCTCTAGGCAGGAGCTGTGCTGGACATCAGAGTTCAAGGAAATGGGGATGGCATTGTTTTATTATTATTATTTTGAGACAGAGTCTCGCTCTGTCGCCCAGGCTGGAGTGCAATGGTGTGATCTCAGCTCACTACAACCTCCGCCTCCCAGGTTCAAGCGATTCTCCTGCCTCAGCCTCCTGAGTAGCTGGGACTACAGGCACCCACCACCATGCCTGACTAATTTTTTGTATTTTTAGTAGAGACGGGGTTTCACCATGTTGGCCAGGCTGGTCTCGAACTCCTGACCTCAGGTGATCCACCCGCCTCGGCCTCCCACAGCGCTGGGATTACAGGCGGAGCCAACAAGCCCGGCCTGGAAATGGGGATGGCATTATGAACAGGGTAATCTTTTGTTAATTCTGATTTCCATTTTTTGAAGTAAATCATTCTAATAACTTTGGTAATTCAGCTATTAATAGCAACACATTGCTTACCACATACTTCACAAGTGAACAGTGATCACACCGAAGTTGAAAACACTTGGCCTGTTGATTAAACAGGGTTTTCACTGGATTACACACTTTAAAACGGTGAATTTTAAGGTATGTGAATGAGTCCTTCCCCTGCTCAATGACAACAACAGGAAAAATTTTAAAAATAGGCTTTGGAGACAACTAGTTTATGTCCCAGCTTTGCCCTTAACAGGCCGTCTGGCCTTTAGGCAATTATGGTCCAGTCCTTGATTTCTCTGAATTTCCACTTCATCCTATGTAGAATGGGATTATGAATTGCCCTTCTTTCATTCCACTGATAAAAGAAACTCTCCACCCCCACCCTAGAGAGCGGCTGATCAAAATATCCCAATTCTCCTAGACACAATAATTGATGAAGACACGCTCACAAGACCCAAAGATGCTCAGTCAAGATTCGTGAGGAGGGGAAATGTGGATGCTGGGTCAAAATA
Organism: Homo sapiens; assembly: GCF_000001405.40. Taxonomy (NCBI): domain Eukaryota; kingdom Metazoa; phylum Chordata; class Mammalia; order Primates; family Hominidae; genus Homo; species Homo sapiens. The sequence continues at coordinate 107,479 of NT_187534.1, forward strand.
GGGCTCTCTCCTTCTAAAATCATAAGACATAGCCTGGGGAGCGGTGGCTCACGCCTGTAATCCCAGCACTTTGGGAGGCTGAGGCGGGCGGATCATGAGGTCAGGAGATCAAGACCATCCTGGCCAACATGGTGAAACCCTGTCCTACTAAAATACAAAAAATTGCCAGGCGCAGTGGCTCACGCCTGTAATCCCAACACTTTGGGAGGCCGAGGCAGGCGTAACCTGAGGTCGGGAGTTTGAGACCAGCCTGACCAACATGGAGAAACCCCATCTTTACTAAAAATACGAAACTAGCCGGGTGTGGTGGCGCGTGCCTGTAATCCCAGCTACTCGGGAGGCTGAGGCAGGAGAATCGCTTGAACCTGGGAGGCGGAGGTTGCAGTGAGCCAAGATCACACCATTGTACTCCAGCCTGGGCAAGAAGAGTGAAACTCTGTCTCAAAAACAACAACAACAAACACAAAAAATTAGCTGGGCGTGGTGGTGTGTGCCTGTAGTCCCAGCTACTTGGGAGGCTGAGGCAGGGGAATCTCTTGAACCCAGGAGGTGGATGTTGCAGTGAGTGGAGATCGCACCACTCCACTCCAGCCTGGCGACAGAGAGAGACTCCATCAGAAAAAAAAAAAAAAAAAAAAAAAAAAGGCCGGGCGCAGTGGCTCACACCTGTAATCCCAGCACTTTGGGAGGCTGAGGTGGGCGAATCGCCTGAGGTCAGGAGTTCAAGCCCAGCCTGGCCAACATAGTGAAACCTGTCTTTACTAAAAATACAAAAATTAGCCGGGCATGGTGGTGGGCACCTGTAATCCCAATTACTCAGGAAGCTGAAGCAGGAGAATTGCTTGAACCTGGGAGGCGGAGGTTGCAGTGAGCCGAGATTGCACCACTGCACTGCAGCCTGGGTGACAGAGCGAGACTCTGTCATAAGATGTAAAGTTCATGAAATCCAGAGCTACTGGGGGTCATCTTTCCCAATATACGAGAGAACATACTGGAGAGTGACGCTAACATAGTGGAAATGAAGGGAGACAGAGAGGTTTCTGACGTTACCTGAGCCCGTGGAGCCAGCCTGGGCGGAAACCGGACAACTCCTGATGTTTTCATTCATGTGCACCAGTAATTCCTTTTTTTCTTAAGCTTGTTTGAGTTGGGTTTCTGTCATGAGCAACCCAAAGAGGCTTAATACAGAAATATATTGTATCAGGCTGTTGTGAGAATTACTCGTGGTAATACCTATAAGGCGTATAAGCAGGGACTAAATAAGCAGGGACAAAAAATGGAAACTTACTATTATTATTGATAGCATTATGCAATGGATAGGAACAACTTTGTATATGCTTAATCTTATTACCCTGTAGTAACAAAGATAGTACTAACTGAGTACCATATAAAGTAGAATCTCAATAAACATATCCTTATAGACAAACTGATATCTCTTTACCTTAGTATAGAATTTAAACATGAATTAATCTGAATTTCTCCTGCCTTTTACTCTTAGGAGATAGAGATGAATCTACAAAATGGAAAAAGTGTTGAACTTGGGAGTCAAGAGACCAGGATTCTAGTTCTGATGATGCCCTTCACATACCGAATGCCCTGGGGAAGCCGCTTCCCTTCTCTCAGCCTTGGGTTCTCCATGTGTCAAATTAGGCTGTGGAAAAAGGTATCAAGAGATACTTTTAATGGTCCATGATTTCTGGGGATTAAAATAAATTCAATCTCATACCCCTTTTGCATCCTGCCCACAGCCTCCCACAGTGACACATGATCAGGGAGAGTCAGGGTGCTTGCAAATGGCCATTTGCGTGACGTTTTATGCTCATGGGAAGATGCAAGGAAGTCAGTACTCTTCACTTGCTAATGTAAAAATGTTACTGAATACATCTTAGAATGACTTTTAAAGACAAGGCCTGAAATATAATTTCGTATCAGAAAAAAATGAATTGAAATGAATATTTTTCATTCATCAGGCATTCATTTAGGGCTTTCTAGGTACATCCTGTGCCCAGTACTAGAACAAAGGGACTAAGGCTCTGTTCCTGAGGTCAAGGAGAGCCTTGTCTTGCAAGGAATGTTCCCTGAATATCTTGTTCATCAAAATTTCACTGGAGTTCAGATTGAAATGGAGATTTTGATAACCTTATTGGGCCAGGCACTGGGTAGACAAGTTTGTTGACATCATCTTAACACTTGATTGTAACTTTTCTGTTCTCCCACCTCCCAGAAACACTCATCTGGCTGAACGGAGACATGAGCCTCTGTAAACTGATTCTTCCTCCACAAAGGGGCCCTGGCCCTCACAGCCCCATCCTCTTTCATCCTTGCTGCCTGATCCTAGGGAAGCTTTGCTCTGGTGGTGCCTGGAGCTGTGATGTATGCAGTCATTTGAAACCCCAGCTTTGTGGAAGACACGAGACATTGATTTTTACTCTACCATTTGGAGAAAAATCATTTTTATATTAGCAGAAATGTTGATAGACAAGGAGCAAAGTTTAAGGTTGGAATGACTTTAAGATTCATTCATTTTTTAAAAATTTATACTTATTGAGTGCTTACTATGTGCCAGCCCTGTCCTAGGCCCTTGGGGACTGGTTGGTAAATAAAGCAGATAGAGTAGTCGATAATGCCTGATATAGTTTGGATGACTGTCCCCTCCAAATCTCATGTTGAAATGTAATCCCAATATTGGAGGCGGGGCTTGGTGGGAGGTGTTTGGGTCTCGTGGGTGGACCCTCATGAATGGCTGGGTGCTGTCCTAGAGGCGGTGAGTGCGTTCTCATGAGATCTGGTTGTCTAAAAACATGTGGCACCTGCCCCCTCTCTCTCTCGCTTCCACTCTCACCATGTGACACCCAGCTCCTGCTTCACCTTCCACTGTGATTAAAAGCTTTCTGAGGCCCTCACCAGATGCTGATGCCAGCACTATGCTCCCTGTACAGTCTGTAGGACCATGAGCCAATTAAACTTTTTTTTCTTTTCTTTTCTCTTCTCTTCTCTTCTTCTCTTTTCTTTTTGAGATGGAGCCTTGCTCTGTCACCCAGGCTGGAGTGCAGTAGCGCCATCTCAGCTCACTCCAACTTCTGCCTCCTGGGTTCAAGCGATTCTCCTGCCTCAGCCTCCCAAGTAGCTGGGACTACATGTGTGTGCTACCACGACCAGCTAATTTTTTATGGGTTTCACCATGTTAGCCAGGATGGTCTCAATCTCCTGACCTCGTGATCCACCCTCCTCGGCCTCCCAACGTGCTGGGATTATAGGCGTGAGCCACTGCACCCAGCCAATTTCTAGTGTTTTCTTTTGATTCTTTCTTAGAGTTTCCATCTCTGAGCTTACATTAACTCTATGTCCTTGCAGTAGAATCCTGCATGTATTAATCATAGTCATTTTAAATTCCCTGTCTGATCATTCCAGCATTTGCATCATATCCAGATCTGGTTCTGGTGCTTGCTCATTTCTTCAGACTTTGCTTTTTCTTGCCTTTTAGCATAGCTTATAACATTTTTTGAAAGCCAAAAATGATGTAATTGAGTAATAGAAACTGATGTAAATAGCCCATCAGTGTGAGATTTATGTTAATCTGGCTAGAAGTTGGGCCATGTATAATGTTTTCTGTATGCTGGGGCTTAGAAACCAATACCCCAAAATACGGCATTTTGACATGCTGAGCTGAAGAAGCTTCCAGGTCTCTCTGACCTCCCTCATCACTTTCTCTGCCATATAACTTGAAGTTCCTTTATCTGCCTATCTACTGTGGAAAATGAGTCCAACAACCTAAGCACACCTGAACAGACACGTTACAGGTACAGTGACTGTCTCAGAGTCCTGAATCGATTCACTCTTCCTAGTAATCCTCTCAAGAGAATTCCTCTTCTGCCCGCTACCATAGCCTGTTTGATCAGGATGCAAGCCCCCATTCTATCGGTAACCTCGAGATGGTATACAAGCTTTTGTACATCACTGGGAGGTTGGGTCTTCATTCTGAAGGCTCCCATGTATACACATTAAATAAATCTGTATGCCTTTTCTCCCATTAATCAATCTGCCTCATGTCAATGATGGTTTTCAGCAAGCCTTTAGGGGGCCAAGGGCCTTGCTTCAAATTCCTATTGTCCTTATTTTTGTCTCCTCTTTAGAAAGAATTTGTGTCTTCAAATCTCTCAGCTGTAATACACTGTACTAAATTACACTGGAGCCCTTTTGGAATGGTGGTGGAGGAAACCAGAATAATTTCACACCAAAATACATTGCCGCAGTATGATGAGTATTTTGAATTAAGGCTCTTAGAGATCAGCAGATGCAGGAATGGGTTTTTTCTTAGCTACATAAAAACTGGACCCACCAAGGAGAACAATTGCTTCCCATCCCCTCCCTGAAATCTCAATGTCTATGACAGAGATGAAGGCTGAGGAATGTAACCACACCAGGATGGACCTTTTCATCAGATATCTGTCTCTCAGGGTCATTCACATTCCAAAGAGAATCATTTACAGATTAACTTTTGATCCACTCATTCTCCCTAATAATAATTTATTGATCCTCAAAAGAAATAACATGGCTTTTCAAATTAGATTCAGAAAAAAATAAGAAAGAATTACCTACATTTCCCATTTGCTCCCTCCCCTATGAAGAAAGTTATATAAACATCTGGATTCCATTGGGTTATTGGGTGATCATTCTCCTGCAAGTCCCCCATGCTACGCACAGTACAATGAATTTGTACTGTCTTTGTCTCTGATTCATCTGCCTTTTGTCAGTTGATTGTCAGCAAACCTTCAGAGAGCAAAGAGGAAGTTTTTCTTTGTTCCCTACAGTGACAAAGTGTAGAGAAGAGAAAGTCATCTATAATCACATGATTAAATCATCGTCTTTTTTTTTTTTTTGAGAAGAAGCCTCGCTCTGTCACCCAGGCTGGAGTGCAGTAGCACAATCTCAGCTCACTGCAACCTCCACCTCCCGGGTTCAAGCGATTCTCCGCCCTCAGCCTCTTGAGTAGCTGGGACTACAGGCATGTGCCACCATGCCTAGCTAATTTTTGTATTTTTAGTAGAGACGGGGTTTCTCCATGTTGGCTAGGCTGGTCTTGAACTCCTGACCTCAAGCAATCTGCCCACTTCAGCCTCCCAAAGTCCTGGGATTACAGGTGTGAGCCACCTCCCCCAGCCAACCTCTTTTCTTTATAAATTACCCAGCCTCAGGCATTTCTTTTACAGCAGTGTGAGAATGAACTAATACAATGCCCTCATGGAGCTCACATTCTAGTGGAAGGAAATAGAAAAAACATGTGGTATTTCAGATGCTGACAAGTGCTGTAAAGAAAAATAGAGCCAGGTAAGGAAGTGTCCAGCTTGCAGAGGACTCGTTCAGCCTTCACCGTCAGAGTCCCTGGATCTCCTTCTTGTCTCTGCCACAAGGGTTACCTGGGCCAAGCATTGGGGTGGGAGTTGGGGATGGGGGTGGGGATTAACCAGGAAATGAATTGGCTTAAGAAATGCATCTTGAGCACCCAGAGGGAGGAAATGCTGAGGGAGGGAGGAGGTGAGCTCGCCCACCCCATGGTACCTCCCAGCTCAGAACCCACACCCTCTGGGGCCCCAGTCAGTCCTTCAGCCTTCTTCAGCAGGCTTCTGTCTCTGTTTTTCTACCTGCTCACGTAGTACAATCCCTGCCTGAGTGTCTCGGAGGCCCAGGGGGCTGCTCTGGGGGGCTTCCTTCGGATGATCACTCGTTTTCACTTGCAATTTCACCTCATCAGCTATTCCCCCAGCTCCGCCCCAAACCCTTTGCCCTTATAGCCAAAGGCAGCCATGTTCTCTGTCACCAGCCCATCTCCTATGCCACAGAGCTTTCACGGCTAAAGAGCTTTACTTTGCCACTCTCCTAACCACGCCCATGGTGGTTTCTCGTGCCTCCCTCTAGCAAAGCCAAGGAGTCGTCGTAAGGCAGGTCAGAGAAGGGAGCTTGATGAGTGGCCGGGGATGGGGAGCTGGGAGGTTGGTGACGTATTGCACACAGAACGGGCTGTAAGCCAGTGGTTCTTACACCTGACTATGCATCAATCACCTGCAGGGCTTGGTAAAATGGAGAGACTGCTTGGCCCCACCCCCAGTTTCTGATTCAGTAGATCTGGAGGGGGGCTCCAGAATCTGCGTGTCTAACAGGACCCCAGGCCATGCTGGTGCTGCTGATCCTGGAGCCACACGGAGACCCACTGCTCCAGGCCAGCTGGCAGGGCCGGCCAGGCTCACCCTCTGAGCCCCCGGCCTCTTCCTGGGCTCTCCCCTTCTAATCTATGGACCTTGCTCTTGCTTCACTTCCTTCCCTCGTCAGTCATCCGATGATTTTCTCCCCCCGCCAGCCCCTGTCCCTCTAAAAAATGCTTCTGGAGTGTGATCTGAACATAAATTATACCAAGTTGCAAGTGGCTGGTCATCACTATCATCCCTTCCAGGAATATTTGAATTTTAACGGTCCAATAACCTGCAAAAACTTGGGTGGTGGACTTCAGGCATCTGCTAGTGAATGGTGGCTGTGTTCGGGGGCTCAGAGCCTCTGAAACTGTGTAGGTGGCCACTTATCCTACACTCTCCGTGTGCCTGTGGGGGAATGTCTCCTACCCAGCCTGGATAAGAATTTAAATTCCACGTCCCTCTTCTTCAGAAGCAGTGAGGCAGAGACGCTGCTACTGAAGAGGATATCAGCTAATGTCAGTAATTAAATCCCCCAAGGAGACAGGAGTCTCTGTGTCTTTTGTGTTCTGGGAGTGGCTCTTGCTTCAGAGGGAAGAAAGAAAATCTGTTGAGACAGACTCTGGTTCTCCTGCTGAGGGAGGCCCCGCTGTGGTTGCATCAGGGTCCAGGTCTCTCCCTGAAGAAGAAACTCAACCAAATTTTCAAAATTAAGGCCACAGCTCCCCACCTCAGGTTTAAAATGAAAGAATGGGAGGGCTTAGAAGTTGGACAGGGATACATAAGGAAGAGGCCGGAAAAGAAGGCAAGCCATGAGAGTTCAACCATGGCCAAATTGCCCATCTGTCCAGAACTTCTCCCCTGAGCACTTGCCCTCTAGTCCTGGGAGGCAGTATTTGGCCTCCCTGCCTCTTATCCTACTCCTGAGAAGAAACAGCTCCTGGAAAGAATAAAACACTGGAAGGAGAAGGAGCAGAAGAAGGAACAGGGCCTGCTGGGTAGGCAGAGGGTGTTGTCCATCCAAGTTGACTTAGGAGGACAGCAATCTGGCACAGGTCGGCCAGCACTGGCCTAGGAGCCAGAGGCCTCCGTTCTTGTCTTTGTGTGGCCTGGAACAAGTCACTGTCCTCTCCACTGCCCTCCAAGGCATCGGCTGAGACAACCTCTGGGTGTCCCTTCAGACTCTGAAATCTTACCACTTCTTCTACCATCATCATTTGCCATGAGAGGTGCATGAGAGATAAGAGTGGGTTCATCAGAACTCTTCCGATGACCTTCATTTTTTCCATCTCTTCCAGCCTCGGATGGAATTGCACTCAAGGACATGTCTGCGTCAAAGCTTTTCTCCAAGTTCGTCTTCAGTTGCTATTTCTGAAGCCACATCACACCCTGAGAAACTCCTCCCTTTTCCTCTACCCTGCTTCTCCCCCCGTCTGTCTCCTTCTTGTCACTTTTAGTTGGTTTTGCACGGGAACTCTGAGGCCATCCCAGCTGCCCTTGTCTGCCCGTGAGAATCCCCTTCCACAGCGCCTCAAGAGCAGGATGGAAGTTCCAAGAGTATGAATTCATTTCATGACATGTACCTTTTGCAACATACCCCGGTAAGTGTGCATGTGACAGTGTGCACGTGTGTGTATGGACATTTTGGGCCCGTTATAAAATGGCAGTTAAGAGCTCAGGTTTGGCTGGTTGTGGTGGCTCATGCCTATAATCTCAGCACTTCGGGAGGCCGAGGCGGGTGGATCACCTGAGGTCAGGAGATTGAGATCAGCCTGACCAACATGGTAAAACCCCATCTCTACTAAATACAGAAAAAAATTAGCTGGGTGTGGTGGCTCACGCCTGTGATCCCAGCTACTCAGGAGGCTGAGGCAGGGGAATCCCTTGAACCCAGAGGCAAAGGTTGCAGTGAGCTGAGATCGCGCCACTGCACTCCAGCCTGGGCGACAGGGCGAGACTCTGTCTCAAAAAAACAAAAGCAAAAACAACAAACAAACAAACAAAAAAGAGCTCAGGTTTTAGAGCCATACACACCTAGTTTACATTCTGCCCCAGCCACTTAGATAGTTGTGTGACATTGGGCAAACTGCCTAACCTTTCTAAGCCTCAGTTGGCTCACCTGCACATTGATAATACACACCACAAGAGCTTGCCGGGGGCCACTGCCTGCTTCTTGAAGATAACAGTTGTTTCTGAGATATCAGAAAGTTCCATCAGTGTCTTGGCCAGGCGTCCTCTCTTGTAGATAGTAGCACTTCCTCCTACTGTGGCTATCTCAGTGTAGGCCGCCTTCCCGTACCCCCCCCACAACACCTGGAATTCTGAGCCAAAGGCCCCCAGATAGGATGACATCTTAGCGGCCAGTGGGTAGAAGTGAGCCCTCTCCTCCGGACCCACTGACTCTTCAGGCCCCACAAGCTTACACATCAGGCACATGTAGATTTCTTTCCTGAAGGATCAGGGTGATTTCATAGAGTAGCAACAGAACCTAGAGCACGCATCTACTTAGAATTTTTCCTGAATCTCACAAGGACAGACTTAGATCTTTATAAGGAGGGCCTACTTGGAGTCCCCCTCCACTCCTACACATTTGGACCTCAAGTACAAAGGCATGCTGTCCTCTTTGGTCTGTGCAGGGCCTGCTTTTGTGTTCATTATTTATGTTTATTCTTCCATGCACCCCTCCCATTCTCCTTCCCCCCATAGGCAATTATGGATTTAGTATATATCCTTTTGTATATTTCTTGCAAACCATATGGTGGTATTTTCATGTGTTTTTGTTGTACCTAAATGGTGTTGTCTCACATAGTGCATTCTTTCCCTCCTCCTTCCACCCAGCACTCTGCCTTTATGATCCATCCACATTGCCGTGTGTTGTTCTAGCCAGCTTTCCCTCTTCACTTTCCCCGTGACACACTCTGGGTGACTTTCAGTTTCCCCGCCACGAGTAACAACACGGCAATGAGCACCCTCCAAAAGCACTTCTGCTCCCTCCTAACCGGACTCACCTGCTCTCAGGTTGGTCCGTGCAGTCTCTAACTTTTGAGTCTGAAAACTCACAAAGCGCTCTCTCTCTCTTAGATTTTTCTTGAGTCATGAAGCCCACAGTAACACCCAGGCGGCATAGGAATGAGCGTTAATGTTTGTTCCACCTTTTTTCTCCTGGGGCCCCAGGGAAGAGGCTTCTAGACCTCTGGTCTCAGACAATAAGAGCCTCTTCTGTGAGTTTTTGTATCAGGCTCAGGTTGCTTTCTTCGTTTGATTGAATAAAGAAAGCACGTGTTCCAAAGGCAAACACGTTTCCCCCCTCAGAAACAGTACAGTCTAAAGCCATAAGGAATCTTTCCTTCATCAACCACACATTCACCCTGCCCTTGGAATCCTGTTGAGGAGACTTGGGTCTCTTTTTGTCAGTGGGGAGTGAGGAGAAGGCTCAGGGAGTTCTGCTGATGCTTCAGAAGAGCTACTCTTGATTTTCATGGCTGCTCTGAGCTCATACATGAGGAAAGGCATAGGCCTCCATTAATTTTTTTCATCAGTAATTGTCTTCTAGTCAAGAAGAGCTTCATGGTTTGCCAGTTCCTCGCAAACAGGAGCTTTAATAGGACTGAACGCTATTCACTGAATGCTGTCTATTCCTAGTGGGCAAAGTTGTATGGATTTCCCGACATCTTCATTGTCCTGGTCCATCTTCTTCGCTCAGGCCACTTCCTCAACTTTCTCAGTCAAACCGTCTCTTTTTGGGAGGTCCAGAGGTGTTGCACAAGACTCAAGGAGCTCTACACCAGGAGCCAGTGGTCCTGGCCTGGACCCTGACCTGTCTCCATGGCTTGTGTGATGCTGAACTACTGGTTGAAACTCTCAAAGCCTCCATTTTCTTGTTAAAAGACAGGTGGAGTGAGGTAGGGAGTAGTGTTGGAGATTTAAGGCCTTCTGAGTTGTTTTGTTTTTTTTTTTTCAGACAGGATTTTTCTGTGTCACCCAGGCTGGAGTGCAGTGGGGCAATTACAGCTCATTGCAGCCTTGACCTCCCTGGTCAAGCAATTCTCCCACCTCAGACTCCCAAGTAGCTGATTCTACAGGCATGCGCCACCACAGCTAGCTAATTTTTTAATTTTTTTGTAGAGATGGGGGTCTCACTATGTTGCCCAGGCTGGTCTTGTACTCCTGGGCACAAGTCATCCTTCCATCTCGACCTCCCACAGTGCTGGGATTACAGGCATGAGCCACCGCACCTGGCCATCTTTTGGTTCTTCACATCTGTGTTTTTGCAAAGGCTTTGGTATTCCTTTGCCATCTGCCTTCTCCCTCCCCACTTTAACTATGCCCCTTTCTGATCCCAACCCTCCACCAGCCCCTCTTGCCTCTCTAGCTCCCAGCCTTCACCTCTCACCTCTCTCCCCTGTTCGTTCTCAGATACATTTTCTCCTAAGAAATGTTCATACCCTGCTAGCCTCCTTCATGGAAACAACTGTTCTCGGTATGCAGGGTCTCCCCTCCTCTCCTGACCTCTCCTGACCCTCCTCTCAGTCACACAATCCTCTGAGGTTTTTATCAAGTAAGTGGAAGCCGAGTGCTTTGAAGTAACTTGATTTGCCCTGAAACCACCTCAAATTCTTGGGGCTTCTCTTGATCAGGAGTAATTCTGGGCTACCCTGGAGCTCTCATGGTCACACAGGATCACAGGCTACCCCAGAGTCCTCTAGGTCTTCCCCAGATCTGCTTCTTAGGCTAGGAGAAGACAGGAACCAACAAATCTCTTCTATGGCAGATTGCTATGCCTCTCACCCTTTCCCCTGTCAAATCAAGCCCACAAGGATTTCTTTTTTTCTAAGAACTGTAGGCTACCACCTCTGCCTAGACTCACTCATGTATCCTTTCTTTTTTCTTTTTCTTTCTTTTCCTTCCTTCCTTCCTTCTTCCTTTCTTTCTTTCAGACAGGGTCTCACTTTGTCACCTAGGCTGGAGCACAGTGGTGTGATGTCAGCTCACTGCAACCTCCGCTTCCCGGGCTCAAGCTATCCTTCCACCTCAGCCCCCTAAGTAGCTGCAACCGCAGGAGTGTGCCACCATGCCAGGCTATTTTTTGTGTGTTTTTGGTAGAGATGGGGCTTCCTCATGTTGCCCAGGCTGGCATGCATCCTTTCATGCATTCACTCACTCATCAAACATAAGGGGAAATAGCTCAAGGATTCCAAGATGGGTATGTGCAAAGACCTGGCCTTCCAGATAATGATGACTGAAGATCTGGAGACAGGGCCCATCCCCTTCTAACACACACAGTGGTGGAAAAATGGGACTAGAGGCCGAGTTAGGGTTAGGGGAGGTTTTGCCTGAAGCCTTTTGCTGAAGCTGTGATCACTCCATTGCAAGGTTGTTTGCAAGTACACGCATTCCTTCCGACACAGCAGCATATACAGCAAAGCATGAAAATCAATAGGACGAGAAAGACCAAGGATTGTGCAGTGATAAATAGGTGTATTTATCAGCTTGCCCTTCTGTCTGAGCTCCCTGTCTTTCCAGGCCACCTTGCCCTCCTTTTCTCTCTAGAACCCATCTTGCTGCAATTCACAGGGGACAGTAAGAGGGTGGAAGACATCCCTGAGGGGACTTAGTGCATTACACATGGGGACCCCCACCATGACTTTGCCTAAGTCAAGCAGCGAGATGTCCTGTCTTCTTATGATGTCATACGCTGAAGTATTCTTTCAAACTTCTTGTTATCTTGGAACCACATCCATTTGCTCGATATCTTTTTGGTTTGTTTGTTTGTTTGTTTTTTGAGACAGAGTCTTTCTCTGTCACCCAGGCTGGAGTACAGTGGTGTGATCTCGGCTTGCTGCAACCTCCACCTCCCAGGTTCAAGTGATTCTCTTGCCTCAGCCTCCCAAGTAGCTGGGATTACAGCGGGCCACCATGCCTGGCTACTTCTTGTATTTTTAGTAGAGATGGAGTTTCACTATGTTGGCCAGGCTGGTCTCGAACTCCTGACCTCAAGTGATCTGCCCACCTTGGCCTCCCACGGTGCTGGAATTACAGGTGTGAGCCACCCAGACTAGATATCAATTTTTAGTTCTGAAGACACCCCAATTATTTGGTGTCACGAGTAGTCATAACACTAGACCATATTTTAAGGAACTCTTAGATAAAGAAAGACCAAATACTTGATAAAGATATGTAATGCAGTGGCAAATTTATGTACAACTGCTCAGAGGTGAAAAAGAGTATGTGGAGGTTGTTCTATGACTGGCCTAATCTTTCTTGAGAGTCCTCTCCCTGTTGTACAGTGCAAGTAAAGATCATGAGCACTTGACAATGAACAGTAACTCATTTGACTTCAGTTTTGAGAGGCTCACTGGGGCAAATGCTCAGAAGTGCTGATTTCTCTCCCGTCCCCCTGTTCTTCCCCAAGATGGCAGCAGGGTGGATGGGGAGTAGCCTTGGAGTTCTTGCTTGTCCTGTGCTGGCCTCTGGGTCTTTGTGGGTTCCTGTTGCTGGCCAGGTATTTGATTGGTTTATGATTTCCACAGTGGACCTTGTGGTTCAGTCAGTGCCTAGCGCACCCCCTTGCTGACTCAACACCTTCTGAGTCTCAGCTACATACCCCTCCAGCCTAAGACCACCCTATTCCTCAACGTGGATCCCGCATGTGAGGCCCATTGGCTTTTGCCTCAATGACCATCTCTATGTCCCAAGGGGTACATAGGAACCTCTGGGCTCTTCCATAGGGAACCTATGCTCCCTTGCGGGAGCATTGACACAGGCCTCTCCCCGCCTCACCACCGTATGTGAGCATTTTTCACTCTTAGTATGGCTACCCCCTCTTAGTGGTGGGGCCTGCAAGCTGATCTCACAAATGCCACCGTGGAATGGAAGGCGTGTTAAAAAAAAAAAAAATCTTTGCTTTTGCTTTCCCCCAAGACTACCTAACAACCCCTAATCCTAATCCACAGTCTTGGATTTCAAGCTTGGGGGTGGGGCTGGGGGGCCAAAAATCTCAGGTCTGTTTCCTTCCCCTATTTCTCTCTTTTCCTTCTCGCAGTGTCCACTGGAGCAAGAAGGGGAGGCTCTCACCTCTTTGCTTTCTGTTATGTCTTCCATCGTCCATAGGGCAGTGACCCTCATGGCTTGGCCACAAGAAAAGCAGGCATCTTCTCTAAACTATGGAAGAAATCATGAGGTGGGGCCCCCAGTCTTTTGGTATGGGAGATGCCAAACAAACAGGAAATAAAGACACAATTGCACTCCTTTACTATCTCCCGAATAGCTCCATTATGTTTTACATTTATGTATGATTCCTAGTCTTTCTCCAGATGAGTATTGTTGTCTAGGAAGACATAAATGTTAGGCAGATAATATATATTTTTAATTTCTACTCTATGAAAGTCACTATACTGGGGAAGGGGAAAACAAATGATAAGACATGGTCTCAGCCCCCAAGGAACTAACATTCTATGAACTGTGATAAATGTAAACCAGGAACGGAGGTGCAGCAGGAATTGTAAATGCTTGCATGGTGCAGTGCAACAGCTGACGCAAGAGGACTTGGTGTGCTTTGAATGAGATGCAAATTGAACGGGGATTGAAGAAGTCACAGATGACTAAAATGACTAGGATTTCAAGACTGGATGTCAGGCATATGGAGGTTTGGAGGTGATCTGGTTTGGTTTTGTATGCTCTGCTGCTAGAATTGTAGCTCTAATTGCTCACCACACACCAGGCCTCGTTCCTGGCTGCTCCTCGGAGTTCAGTGCACATGAGGCTGATGCGTGGATTTGCCCCCTACATGCCTGACTGGTTTTTAAAGAGAAAACAAGTCCATAGCAAAACTTGACTCTTTCAGCGTTTGCCAAAAAGACAAAAATGGCTTTTGAAAACCCAGAGCTCACCTCCCCTTTTCCCAGCTTCATCATTGACAGCAGCAATGATGCTTCATCATTGACAGCAGCAGCAACAGCTACAGCTACAGCTTAAGATACAGCTAGAGCTCAAACAGCCCCAGACATGGATTATGGAGAGCCAGCAGGGCTCCACTGTAACCCCAGACACGGATTATGAAGAGCCAGCAGGGCTCCACTCTAACCCCAGACACGGATTATGGAGGGCCAGCAGGGCTCCACTCTAACCCCATACACGGATTATGAAGAGCCAGCAGGGCTCCACTCTAACCCCAGACACGGATTATGGAGGGCCAGCAGGGCTCCACTCTAACCCCAGACACAGATTATGAAGAGCCAGCAGGGCTCCACTCTAACCCCAGACACGGATTATGAAGAGCCAGCAGGGCTCCACTGTAACCCCAGACACGGATTATGAAGAGCCAGCAGGGCTCCACTCTAACCCCAGACACGGATTATGAAGAGCCAGCAGGGCTCCACTCTAACCCCAGACATGGATTATGGAGAGCCAACAGAGCTCCACTCCAACCCCAGACACGGATTATGGAGAGCCAGCAGGGCTCCACTCTAACCCCAGACACGGATTATGGAGGGCCAGCAGGGCTCCACTCTAACCCCAGACACGGATTATGGAGGGCCAGCAGGGCTCCACTCTAACCCCAGACACGGATTATGGAGGGCCAGCAGGGCTCCACTCTAATCCCAGACATGGATTATGGAGAGCCAGCAGGGCTCCACTCTAACCCCAGACACGGATTATGAAGAGCCAGCAGGGCTCCACTCTAACCCTAGACATGGATTATGAAGAGCCAGCAGGGCTCCACTCTAACCCCAGACATGGATTATGGAGGGCCAACAGGGCTCCACTCCAACCCCAGACATGGATTATGGAGGGCCAGCAGGGCTCCACTCCAACCCCAGACATGGATTATGGAGGGCCAGCAGGGCTCCACTGTAACCCCAGACATGGATTATGGAGAGCCAACAGGGCTCCACTCCAACCCCAGACACGGATTATGGAGAGCCAGCAGGGCTCCACTCCAACCCCAGACACGGATTATGGAGGGCCAGCAGGGCTCCACTGTAACCCCAGACACGGATTATGAAGAGCCAGCAGGGCTCCACTGTAACCCCAGACACGGATTATGAAGAGCCAGCAGGGCTCCACTGTAACCCCAGACACGGATTATGAAGAGCCAGCAGGGCTCCACTGTAACCCCAGACACGGATTATGAAGAGCCAGCAGGGCTCCACTCTAACCCCAGACACGGATTATGAAGAGCCAGCAGGGCTCCACTCTAACCCCAGACATGGATTATGGAGAGCCAACAGGGCTCCACTCCAACCCCAGACACGGATTATGGAGAGCCAGCAGGGCTCCACTCTAACCCCAGACACGGATTATGGAGAGCCAAGAGGGCTCCACTCCAACCCCAGACACGGATTATGGAGAGCCAGCAGGGCTCCACTGTAACCCCAGACACGGATTATGAAGAGCCAACAGGGCTCCACTCCAACCCCAGACATGGATTATGGAGAGCCAGCAGGGCTCCACTCTAACCCCAGACATGGATTATGGAGAGCCAACAGGGCTCCACTCCAACCCCAGACACGGATTATGGAGAGCCAGCAGGGCTCCACTCTAACCCCAGACACGGATTATGGAGGGCCAGCAGGGCTCCACTCTAACCCCATACACGGATTATGAAGAGCCAGCAGGGCTCCACTCTAACCCCAGACACGGATTATGGAGGGCCAGCAGGGCTCCACTCTAACCCCAGACACAGATTATGAAGAGCCAGCAGGGCTCCACTCTAACCCCAGACACGGATTATGAAGAGCCAGCAGGGCTCCACTGTAACCCCAGACACGGATTATGAAGAGCCAGCAGGGCTCCACTGTAACCCCAGACACGGATTATGAAGAGCCAGCAGGGCTCCACTCTAACCCCAGACATGGATTATGGAGAGCCAACAGAGCTCCACTCCAACCCCAGACACGGATTATGGAGAGCCAGCAGGGCTCCACTCTAACCCCAGACACGGATTATGGAGGGCCAGCAGGGCTCCACTCTAACCCCAGACACGGATTATGGAGGGCCAGCAGGGCTCCACTCTAACCCCAGACACGGATTATGGAGGGCCAGCAGGGCTCCACTCTAATCCCAGACATGGATTATGGAGAGCCAGCAGGGCTCCACTCTAACCCCAGACACGGATTATGAAGAGCCAGCAGGGCTCCACTCTAACCCTAGACATGGATTATGAAGAGCCAGCAGGGCTCCACTCTAACCCCAGACATGGATTATGGAGGGCCAACAGGGCTCCACTCCAACCCCAGACATGGATTATGGAGGGCCAGCAGGGCTCCACTGTAACCCCAGACATGGATTATGGAGAGCCAACAGGGCTCCACTCCAACCCCAGACACGGATTATGGAGAGCCAGCAGGGCTCCACTCCAACCCCAGACACGGATTATGGAGGGCCAGCAGGGCTCCACTGTAACCCCAGACACGGATTATGAAGAGCCAGCAGGGCTCCACTGTAACCCCAGACACGGATTATGAAGAGCCAGCAGGGCTCCACTCTAACCCCAGACACGGATTATGAAGAGCCAGCAGGGCTCCACGCTAAAGAGGGGAAGGAAGATGGAAGATACTCTCTTTAGGAGCTGGTGGTGAAGCCAGGAGGCCCAGCACTCGGCGGTGCATTAATGCAACAAGTATTTATTGAGTGCCTACTATATACTAGGCTCTGTTCTAGGCATTGAGAATACAGTGGTAAGAGAGAGAGACAGAAAAGGACTACATTCTAGTAGAAAATATAAACAATAAATAAGTAAAAAACAAATATAAACATGAACTATAAAAATATCAGAGTGGTAAGTGCTATGCAAAAAATTAAAATAGAGTGATGGGCTAGAGAGAAGTTGAGTGGCCCCTTTGGAGGAGTTGGTCAGCGAAGTTCGGCAAAAAATATACTTCTTGTGGGCTTCTGAGTTGAGCATAAGTAACTCTATACTTATTATTGAAGTAAATTGTATTACTTGTCTCCACATGCCTTAGAGCTTTTGTGTGTAGTTTTTTCTGACATTTACAGTTTGTAAAGTATTTGGCAATAATTTAATAACAGGCCACGCTTGTTTTCTCTTAAGCTTCTATTATATTGGATTAAGATAGTCCAGTCTACTTCCAGTAGAAGTGGATGGAGTGAAAGATGTTGCTTCTTTGGCTCAAACTGCAAATAAGTCTGATAACCTTGCATAGAGAGCAATTTCCATGAAGAAAAATGGGGGAAGCAATCAATTCACTAAAGGAGGAATCAGAGGAAAGGAAATGAGGGCATTGGATATAGGAAACAGGGACCACAAGTTGGGAGCAATCTTCTCATTCTACTTGATGGGAACATTATACCTCCTTTCTTGTCTGTCATTTAATGGAGCTAATACTGAGCCATGGGTCATTTCCCCGTAAAACAACCTCTTGTTTTCTCTGAAAGGATCCTCTCAGGAATACACAATGCTTAATAGCCTTGCTCAGACACTCAGTCTAATGGTGACACCCTAAAACAACAAGCATATTGGCAATTGCAAACTAAGGTTTCTGAGACTTTACAGAAAGAATCACCAATAAGAGAGTAACAAGCCCAAGGAAAGGTCAGCTCATGCCAGTTTGGAGGCTGGCCTATTCCCGCCGAGTAGGCAGATGCAGCCATCTCCTCCCCAAGGGAGGACCACTAATGAGCGCAGCTCTGTGATTTAAAGAGCTATCGATTTGTCCGTGACATTCAAGTATTTCTGAAGAACAGGGTTTGAAATATGCTGTTTCATAGCATTTTACCCCAAATGGCCGCATCGAATAGAGATTGGAATAATATATAGAAATGAAAGGCACCGTATTCCCTTAAACCTCATTATCCTTTTGATTAGCCAATTCACATTCTGTTCAACATTCTGCTTAATTTGCTTTTTCTGTATGGTGAGATCAATAACTTTAAGTGTTGTTTCTCGAAGTTGCTATTACTGGTGGGAGACTCAACAAGTTAACAGTCACCACGTGTAATATCAGTAGCTTAAGTGCACAATACCTAGCTGGGCATGGAGGCGCGTGCCTGTAATCCCAGCTACTTGGGAGGCTGAGGCAGGAGAATTGCTTGAACCTGGGAGGCAGAGGTTGCAGTGAGCTGAGATCGCACCACTGCATTCCAGCCTGCACGACAGAGTGAGACTCCATTAAAAAAAAAAAAAAAGTACAATACCAAATGGGAGGGATCTGAAGTGATTCTTCCTTTTGTCTTCCCTGTGAGAGGGACAATTTGCTGACTTCTGAGGGGAAAATCTAGGGGAAGATTTGTAAAAGTCATCTTCTAGTATAAAGAGATACTTGTGTTTTGGCTTCTCAGAGGACTAGAGCCCTCATTGCCAAGCGGAGACAGGAGACTATGTGGAGAGAGGAGACTAGTTAAGTGGAGAGAGTTATGTGGAGAGAGGAGACTAGTTATGTGGAGGGAGGAGACTAGTTATGTGGAGAGAGAAGACTAGTTATGTGGAGGGAGGAGACTAGTTATGTGGAGAGAGGAGACTAGTTATGTGGAGAGAGTTATGTGGAGAGAGGAGACTAGTTATGTGGAGAGAGGAGACTAGTTACGTGGAGAGAGTTATGTGGAGAGAGAAGTGCTCGTTGGCTAAAGGAAGACACCTTCTTCATGCTGTTTGGGTCAGTCAATAATAGGAAGAGTTTCTGCTTAGCAGGGAGCTAAAGCTGAGGTTTGACATAGCAGAGCTGCCGTATGTGAAAATGGAGGTGGGAGTAGTGGCGGGCAAGCCCTCTTCCCAGCCCAGCCCACAGCCCCTTCTCAGAGAATCAACTCCCTGTCTCCCTGCTGAGTCCCCTCAGCACTCACTCCCTTAACCGTCTGCCACAGCTGATTAGATCGTGGGCAGGCACGTAACTCCAGCTGGTCCAGTCAGACACGTTCTGACCTAGGAATGTAAATTTGGGTCGCGGAAACTTAGATTTTTTTTTTTTTTTTTTTTTGAGATGGAGTCTCGCTCTGTCATCCAGGCTGAAGTGCAGTGGCACAATCTAAGCTCTGCTCACCGCAATCTCTGTCTCCCAGGTTCAAGTCATTCTCCTGCCTCAGCCTCCTGAGTAGCTGGGATTGCAGGCATGCACCACCACACCTGGCTAATTTTTGTATTTTGAGTAGAGACAGGGTTTCACCATGTTGGCCAGGCTGGTCTTGAACTCCTGACCTCATGATCCACCAGCCTTGGTCTCCCAAAGTGCTGGGATTACAGGCATGAGCCACCGTGCCCGGCTGGAAACTTAGGTTTCTGATAAGCACTTGAACTATGGGTTGGTTATTGCTATGGTTTGAATGTATGTGTACCTCCAAAACTCAACTGTTCAGATCTAATACCCAACGCGATCGTATTAAGAGGTAGGGTCTTTTGGGAAGTGATTAAGTCATGAGTATTCTACTCTCATGAATGGGATTAATGCTCTCATCAAAGAGGTTGAAGAGGGCACCCTAATCCCTTTTTGCCCCTCCATCTCTTCTGCTGTATAAGAACACAGTTCATCGCTTTTGCTGCCTTCCACCACGCAACAAGGCTTCATCTTGGAAGCAGAGAGTGAGCCCTCACCTGACACTTAATCTGCTGACATCTTGATCTTGAACTTCCCAGCCTCTAGAACTGTGAGAAACAAATTCCTATTATTTACACATTACCCAGTCTAAGATATTTTGTCACAGCTGCACAAACAGACTGAGACAGATAAAAAGCTAGTATCAAGGCACCCATGTTCAGACATGGTTAAGTGAGCAAAGAAAGATAATAATGAAAGCAAACGCTTGCAACGTGCCTGGCACTGTTCAAAGAACTTTACATATATTGATTCAATCTCACAACAATCTTATGAGGTAAAAGTACCATTGTTATCTTTATTCCCACTTTACAAATGAGGAAACTGAAGAACAGAAGCTTAAGGAACTTGCCCAGAGTCACCAATAACTAAGTCGTGGGGCTGGCATTTAGCACCCTGGCTTGGAGACTGCCCTTAATCACATACCACATGCTAAACTGTTCTCTGGAGAGAGAGAGAGAGATTGAGAAGGCATGTGCCTTAGAGAGCCAGAAATAAAAGACAATATAGCTCTAGAGAGAAAGAGATTTGGAGAGACAAGCCAGTCTGGCTCTTGTCAGCTTTGCAGTTTCTGGCATTAATTCCTATGAAGCCTGGCCTCATTTCCTGTCTTGGGGCTCCACCAGATCCCTCTATTTCTAATCAATGTTCTTTTTTGCTTATGTTAGCTTGAATGAGTTCTGTTCATTGCAACTAAATGCTCTCTGACTCAAGAAGTTGGAAAATGAAGGAATATTTTCCAATAGGGGGTCTGCTAGAATTGTGTTATGTTAATCAGCTACAGAAGTATGTGAGAGATGTTTTAATTTTGCTCTTTTAAAAGTTCACACAGTATACTAAGCAAGGATGATCTAATTGCTTTTATAGCCAAGAGTAAGTGATTCCAATTTGTCCTGTCTCTGTCCAATGACTGGGACCAATGCAGTCATGGCTGCCCTTCCGTCTGGTGGAATTGGAACTGAATTACAGGGATAGAATTTTGGAATGGGAGTAAATTAAGAACCAATCAATCAGAAGAAGAGTATAGATGATGTATCCGTAATGAGTCTTAATTTTTATTTCTTAGTTAATGGGTTTTAATTATTGCATGAGTTCTCCATTGCTGCATTACAAATCATCTCAAAAAACTCAGTGGTTTAAAAAAATCATTTTATTATCTTTCATGGTTTCTGTGGATCAGGAATTCAGACAGGCCAAAGCAGAGATGGCTTGTCTTTGCCCCACAATATCTGGGACCTCAGTTGGGTGTGGCTGAGGGCTGGAATAATCTGGGGGCTGCCTTCCGCTCATATGTCTCGCTCTGGTGTGACTGTTCGCTGGGACCTCGCTTGGGCCATCATCCAGAATACCTACATTTGACTTCTTCATGTAATTTCTCACATGACCTAATGGGTCTTCCCCATAGCGTGGCTGCTGGGTTCTAAGAACAAGCATCCCCAGAAAGAGCCAGATAGAAGCTGCATCACTTTTCATGATCCAGCCTTGAAAGTTGCATGGCATTCCTTCTGCCACAGTCACAAGCCTGCCCACCCTAGGAGGTGGGAGTGGAGATCCCACATTTTGAGGGGAGAAATGTCAGAGTCACATAGTTAGAAGATAACATTGGATGGGAGTTGTTGTTGCAGACATCTTTGGAAACTAGCATCACGGCAAAATACAATGACAAATGTTGACTTAAAAAAATACATTGTGTGGAAGCCTATAAGCCTCCTATTTCTTTAAAAAGCAGAGCACTTGGTAAAGTTTTAAGTAGCCTGATTATAATTTTCATCACTTGAAAGAAACAAGTAACAGCAAGAGGACCAGCAAAGAACTGTGAGTTATGTGAAAATAATAACAGCTTGGGCCAGTGTCCATCCTATTAAAGCAGGATGTGTGTCTTCAGACTTACAGACTTGAGGAAAGCAGATTTCAAAACATTCAAAACAGATGATCTCATAGTGAGAACCTCTGAAAGGGAGTATGGCTAAGAAAGGATGGCTCTAAAAATAAAATTCAGAACCTAAAATTGCAAATGATCCTAATGAGGAAGAAAAGAGACATCCAAAGAAAACAGCATTTCTGCTGATGAGCGCCAATTTGAAGAGAACACACACAAAGATGGAAGGAGGGGCACAAAATCAAGGGTGTATACAGAAGAATGTCACAAACTCTTACGAATCTCAGAGGAAATCAAAAGCATAGAGAAGGTTGACGTTTCAAGGGTTGAGGGAAGCTAAAGATAAATCATCAAAAAGACCCGTTTGACTGTGTGTAGAAGAACAGGGAAAGAACAGGCATAATCCACTTTCAAACCATAATATCATCTGTTAAAACAACTAGTTAGCCTACTAGATGATGACACAATACGTCTGGAAGAAAGAAAAGCTTCAATGCAAACACAATTTTGTAACATTTCCTACAAGTGACAGAGAGAACGTCAAATGAGTTCCCTAGCAGCCCCAGAGGGACGAAGCTCTCTAGGAGCCGAATTTCCTTTGTGGGGCAACGTATGTGGAGACCTAAGGCAGCAGTTGGGGTAGCAGAGGGCCTTCTTTTTTCTTTTTTTCTTTTCTTTTTCTTTTTCTTTTTTTTTTTTTTGAGACAGAGTCTTGCTCTGTCGCCCAGGCTGGAGTGCAGTGACACGATCTTGGCTCACTGCAACCTCCGCCTCCCAGGTTCAAGTGATTCTCCTGCCTCAGCCTCCCAAGTAGCTGGGATTACAGGCGCTTGCCACCACACCTCACTAATTTTTTTGTGTATTTTTAGTAGAGATGGGGTTTCACCGTGTTGGCCAGGAAAGTTTTGTTCTCCTGACCTCGTGATCTGCTTGCCTTGGGCTCCCAAAGTGCTGGGATTACAGGCATGAGCTACCGCGCCTGGCCGCAGAGGTCCTGCTGAGTCAGGGTATCTGGCTTCAGGATGTGGCTTGAGCAGGTGACTCTGGGTGAACTGGGATTGTGCTGCTTCTCTGTTTAAGATTCTTTTATACCACAGTGGGAGAGTCTTAGATAATTTTTCAAGTCCCTTCAAAGGAGAAGATGCCAGGATTTGGAGAGCTTGTGTGTTTCATCTCTGTGAACACCCTGTCATGGAGGGTCTGCACTAACTAGTGTGCTGGGTCCATGCTGAATAGAAGAGGGAAGTAGGCCTGGAGAGTCTCAGAGTAATGGCGGCTTCCTGGTGCTCCTGCTCCTACCTAACTCTTGGTGTCTCCTTTCAGGACTAGGTGGGGAGTCTCTGGGGACTGAGGCACTTCCAGCCCTCGAATAAGTATTCCCAGGAAATGTACCTTCACCCCCAAGTCCTAAGCAGATCCCAGCATGTCCAGGCAAAAGTAGGGAGTCGTATTGAGAACAAATGAACAAATGGATGAGGCTGTGACCTGAATTGATGCCACACACCTTGCAGCTTCTTCCCGCCTCCCTCAGCTCCCCGATATCTCAGACTCAGAGTTTAGGGGGAGCTTCTGATGCTCTGGATGGGGACTATTACTTGGGTGGGAGGGAAGGGAAGGTTTACTGATAACATAAACATGATCCTAGCAACTTGTAGATGTTAACTAAAACCTGTGCACAGAAGATCAGAGAATTTCTCTTTTGAAGGCTGAAGGGAAGAGAGAGCAAGTTTGTCTCCTCTGCTGCCAGAACAGAGCGGGGCACCCTGAGTTTATCCCATCTTTGTCCTGGTCTGTTCCTATTGACAAGAGAGGCTCCAGGTCTCACCCCCTATCCCCCAGGTAGGAGGGTAAGCCCACTGCACTGGGGTTTCTAATTTCGGGGGTAATCCCTTCCTTCCATGCCAGGCAGGAGGGTGGGGAGACCCCTCTATCCAAGTCTTTGATCTGGGTTGGAGCAAAAGAGAAGGACTTCTATAAAACTGTCAGGGAGATGGGAAGGGGGCTTGAAAGAGAGGTTGTAAATGGGCAGTTCACCTTTGATCACCCGCCCCAGATCCTTTTTATAGCCCAGGATTATGGGTTTAGAAGTGCGCTTCGTGTGTCCCCGAAGGAATCGTGTGACTTAAGAACATTGTTCTTAAAGTTCTTACATTGTTCTGAAAGTTCAGAGAGACTGCACACAAAGGACTTTCGTTTTCATTAAAAAAGGAGAAAGAAAAAAGAAAAAGAAAACATCAGCTCAAATCATGCAGCGATCCCTAAGTTAGTAATAAACTGGAAACCCAGTCTGTTTCTTTCCATGTAATAGGATACTTTCTGGCCTGGTAATTCCACTAAAATCTATTAAATGATGAAGGTACAAGATATATTTTTATTCCCCATTCCCCTGCCCTCCAGACAAAAGAAGGAATTTGCTGTCTATTATTGCTAGATTTTTATTTCCTGCTGTTAAAACGTCAGAGAAACAGAAGCTTAATTGTCTGAGTTTTGTCACTTGGGTATAAAGAGATGTTAGAGCTGACTGCTAATTTCCAATTTGTTTAATGTGTGTGGTCAAATACTTCGCAGACAAACTGATTCATCATGGCTGTATCTCTGTGTGTTTCCACACGTCTCTATCCCCTCCCACCTCCATCACCACTCAAAGAGAAGGAAAGTTTGCAATCTGTTGTTCATCTTAAACTCTGCTCAGTCTTTTGCTGGGAAATATAAACAGCTTCC
Source organism: Homo sapiens (assembly GCF_000001405.40). Taxonomy (NCBI): domain Eukaryota; kingdom Metazoa; phylum Chordata; class Mammalia; order Primates; family Hominidae; genus Homo; species Homo sapiens. The sequence goes on from NT_187534.1 coordinate 131,811, forward strand.
CGCCAGTGTTGAGGGAAAGTTTGTGATTTAGGAGAAGCAAGCGTCTTTTCAATGTGGCTGGTTGTAGCCACCGCCCTTCTCCTTGCTCAGTGAGCCCTGCTCTCTCAAGCAGCATAGCTGTGAACAGCCCTGTCCCCAAGCCGCACTAGTTGCCACACCCTGGGAACGCCCCTTTTCCTGCCACAGCCCTGGCTTCCCCTGCGTGTGCATCAGCTGGAAGGCTAAGTCAGATCTCTGTGAAGCTGGAAAGCTTGCCTGGCATCTGTCACATTTCAGCTGCCACCCAGGCCCATTCCAAGCCCACTGGAGTCACGTGGAGCAATCTCTTCCTTGTCTAATAAGCACCTTTGTTCTATGATTCTTGGTACCTACCTCCTTCTCCAGCATCTTTGGCCCTCACTAAGGTGGAAGCAGAATCCACTACTCCCTTAGCCAACATTGAGCCATGGGGCCCAGAGAGTGGGTCGGCAGCAGGTCTAGCCCAATTACAGAATTACCCAGTCCATCATTGTCTCCGAGTGGGGACAACCAGCATCTGCTGGACAGTTAGGACATTCTTTCTTGCGGTGAGATGGCGACAGAACTAAATTCCTGCACAAGTCACCGACAGCCATATGCGAGGGTCCCAGGGCTGGGAAAGTGGACAGCAACCTCTTGAGAACTGGAGGGCCCATTTAAACTTACAGCAGGTTCCTGGAGGCTGATACTGACAGCAAGGGATGGGGCCCTGCTCACAGGAGCTGATCAGGGGAGTCCTCGTAAAGACAAATATTGAAGACTTGAGATTTTTTTCCATTACAGAATCATTGTCTCGTTTTTCCTGTCCTTGGCTACACACTATCATACACATATACCACAAGTTCATCTTTCTCTGTGATTATCAACAAGCACCAGAGATTTTCTTCCATTCTCTGCCTAGCGGTGCACAGCCTCCCAGGGGACAAATCACAAGGAAATTAGTGAACTCCAGGTGTTTGCATATGTATTTAAATATTCAATGCCTGGGTGTTTATGATTCCAAAATATCTGGTTGGGGTAGTTAAAACCTCAGGCAATTTGAGACAAATGAGTCTAAGTATTCATGTATTTATCGCTCATCTAACAAATAAATACCGAGTGTCTTGCATGAGCCAGGAAGTATCCAGGGAACAAGACACAGACCATCGCTGTTTGTTGATGCATAGATAAGCCCTTGGTGGATTAATCAGACCTCTCACATGCTAGCTGTTGCTCTGGCTTTTTAAAGAGCCTCCTTCTGTGTCCTCGGATCTGTGTCAGCTATCTCCGGCAGTCCGCTCGTGTCTGGCACACATGCACTCTGAGCTGCTTGGAAATAGGGCATCATCTCCACTCACTCTCATCTTGATGGGATCTGTGTGCGTGTTGTAACTTTACATTCTTTCTGCAGAGGTTGCTCATCATCTTAAGACTGTGGCTGGAAAAGAAGGTTCCAGAATGGCAGGCTCTCAAAGGGCTGGTGGTGGTGAATGACAGTGGGAAGGCCAGTGGGCCCAGTCCTGTGGGAAAGAGAATGGGAGGATATATTAGAAAAACAGACTTCTAGCTGGGCATGGTGGCTCACACCTGTAATCCCAGCACTTGGGAGGTTGAGGCGGGTGGATTGCCTGAGGTGAGGAGTTTGAGACCAGCCTGGTCAACATAGTGAACACCTCTCTCTACTAAAAATACAAAAAATTAGCTGGGCGTGGTGGCGAGTGCCTGTAATCCCAGCTACTAGGGAGGCTAAGGCAGGAGAATCACTTGAACCTGAAAGGCAGAGGTTGCAGTGAGCCGAGATCGCGTCATTGCACTCCAGCCTGGGCAACAAGAGTGAAACTCTGTCTCAAAAAAAAAAAAAAAAGAAAAAAAGAAAAAAAGAAAAAGGGACTACTTTTTAGAGGCCATTATTTCTGCTGTGGCCAGATTCCTCTGAGCTTAACAGAAGTGGATCCTGGAGCCATGCCAGTTCTGCCTTAGGTGGGGGTATTTTGCTAGACATCCAGGAAGCGGATTATGACAGGGTGGAGGGACTGGGAATGGGAGGTGCTCTGAGCCCCATTCCAGGGGGAGCAGATTTCCCAGGTGGAGGAGGCAAATTTGAGTCTAAACCAGAGGGTGAAGCTGGACAAGGGAGACAGAAGCAAAGGCCTCCCATCCAAGAGAAATCTCAAGGCCTAGCGGGACCGGCTTCTCAGGTTCTTACTCAGGAATGCTTCAAAGACCCTGAACTGTGGTTGGCAATTTCTCAGTCGCCCTGGCTTGGAAACTTGGACTCCCCACCCAGGGATCATTCCACAGCTCTTCACTGTTACCAGTTCCTCAGATCCGTACACTCTTCCGCAGCTGCTCAAGGACCGTCCCTAGGGGAGTGGGGAACACAAAGGGAACCCAGGGTCCCTTATCCTTATCCATGGAAAACTGAACACGGAAACTCCATCTTCCTCCATAAATTCAAGAGAAAAGCTGTATTCGTCACAGGATTCACAAGACTAATTATTAAATCTTTATGATTTATGGATTCAATTTTTATTGGGTGTGGGCCAAAAAATATTTGCTGAGCTTCTGCCTACTGGACTAGGGGAATAAATCTCCTCTAATTCTCTTCCTCCTTCTTAGGACTTTCTTTCAGTCCCTGTTTTTTTTTTTTCTCGGCTCTCCACTTGTAAGAGAAGCCTTCTCAACCCCTCCTTAGTCCTTACACCATCACATCGAGCTCTTCCCTGTCGCCGTCCTTGACTGCGTTGGAGACTTAGAAATGTGTTCATTGGTTTGCTTCTCCACTAGACTATCAGCTCTCCGGAGGTGAAAACCCTAACTTATTTTTCTTTCATCTCCTTCGGTGCCTAGCGCTATGCTCAGCACAGAGCAAGGAGCTCCGTAAGCATTTGTCAGACAAGTGAACGAATGAGGGAATGAATGAAGGAGTCTGGAGATGCATCTGATGTGGATGCGGGTGACAGGGCAGACAGCAACAGCCAGGTGGGCATGAACATGCTGGGCGCCCACTTGTGCCAGGCACAGTGCTGGAAGGACATCACTGCTGCGCCTGCACCTTCCTTCCAGCCAGAAAGACTTGCTTGCACCCTGGGGCTTGCTTCTGGTAGGATACCGGGGCCCTCTGCATTTCCAGAGTCTTGACAAGCAGAGAATGAATGCTCTTTCAGACGGCATCCTCGTCAGTTTACACTCCAATCGCCTTCTCCCAAAAAATTAAATTGCCTTTTCTTCCTCAGGAGGTATAATAATCCCCGCAACAGATTGTTTCCTGTTCTATAAAACGACTCCCTTCTGCTCGCCACATCCCTGCCACAGCATTACCTTCTCTCAGTGTTTTCTATGCCCCTCTCTTAGGCTCCTTCTTCCTGTGCAAATGAGCCTCCTTGTCCCTGAGCACAGGTCCCCCAACTCACCCTTAAACCCTGACCTGGTCTTTGGTGGATCTCAGCCCCAGCTCAGCACCCCCTTGCCTTTTATGTAGACGACAAGAGTCTGTGCAACCTTCCTTCTCCCGGCCCTTGGCTCCAGGAGTGTGAAGCCTGGGGAGTTTTTTCATCTAATTTTCCAGCAAACTTAAACTAGACAATTGAAGACTCAATTAGGGAGTGGAGGTCTGCGTGCTCTCCCAGGGGAGTGCACTTAGCTCTGGAAATCTTAGCTTACAGAGGTCACTCCCATCTTTTCCAGATTCCCCCTTTTTCGTAGACTAACGATTTTTTTGGAGGGTACCAGGCACTTGTGCTTAGCCAGCAAGGAGTGGGGTGGAGTGGGTGGGAGGTGTGGGACTCATCTCAATAAAGCAGAGGCTGAGGACAGTGGAAATGAGGGCAGGATTCAAAGGAAGCAGCCCATCGAAGACACAGTGGATGAGCTCTACAAGGCTAGAGACACAGAGGCCCGGGGGCTCACACCCACCGCTAAGACTGAAGGAAGCGTATTCTGATAGGGACTAAGAGTACAATACGCGTGCATGTGTGTGTGCAGACACACCCCATCAGATAGTGCCCTCTGAATCTAGCTCAGGCTAGAAACCCAGACAGGATAGAGGCATTGGGTGGGGTGTTTGGTAAATTGCGCCCACTCGGTCACCGTAGGGACTAAGACTTGTTACATTAACAAGGAAATAGGGCAATTAGGCTACGACTTAGGGCAATGCTGCAAGGAAAAAGTGCAGAAGTGCGGACAGCTCTTTGTTTGTTTGTTTGTTTTTTGAGATGGAGTCTCCCTCTGTCGCTCTGTCGCCCAGGCTGGAGTGCAGTGGCTCGATCTCGGCTCACTGCAATCTCCACCTCCTGGGTTCAAGTGATTCTCCTGCCCCATCGTCCCAAGTAGCTGGGATTACAGGCGCGCCACCATGCCTGGCTAATTTTTGTGATGGGGTTTCACTCTTGTCGCCCAAGCTGGAGTGCCATGGCACGATCTTGGCTCACTGCAACCTCCGCCTCCTGGGTTCAAGTGATTCTCCTGCCTCAGCCTCCCGACACCTGCCTAGTTTTTGTATTTTTAGTAGAGACGGGTTTTCGACGTGTTGTCCAGGCTGGTCACAGTCAGCTCTTTGCCTGTATAGATTCACCCCATCCTCCTACTCCCATCTCCGGCCACCTCCATTGCCTCCTGCACTGAAAGAGGACTAGGGCAACAGGGACTCCATCTCCTCCAGCTTCTGACTGGATTCAGCCAATGAAGAGCCTTAGCAAATCAGGGGGAAGGAGAAAAGGGACTCCAGGGTGCTTATTTCCCTGGCTGCATTCCTATGCCCGTGCCCTGGGCTGGTCGTTTTCTTCCTTTAAGTGCCCCCCAGCTCCGCACAGCTGCCTCTCTTTCCTGGTTCTGGGAGCCCATCCCTCCTCGGGTCCTGAGCACAGCTGCCTCTCTTTCCTAGTTCTGGGAGCCCATCCCTCCTCGGGTCCTGAGCACAGCTGCCTCTCTTTCCTGGTTCTGGGAGCCCATCCCTCCTCGGGTCCTAAGCACAGCTGCCTCGCTTTCCTGGTTCTGGGAGCCCATCCCTCCTCGGGTCCCTTAGGACTTAGGGATGGTCATAGGTCTGCCGCCGCCAGCCCTGAGGTTCTGAGCTATTTTTTTCGTTCTCCTACACTCCAACCTTAAGTTTATTATTAGTTAGCTTTTTATAAATAAAACCTCCCTGAGTTACCCTAACTTGACAGTGCCATTTGTCTCCTGTTGGGATCCTGACTGATACAGATATAATTGTATTTCAATATGATTACTGTTTTGTTTTTAAAAATACTGTTGGGAGGGCTGGGCGCTGTGGCTCATGCCTGTAATCCCAGCACTTTGGGAGGCTGAGGCAGGCGGATCACTTGAGGTCAGGAGTTCAAGACCAGCCTGGCCAATATGGCAAAATTCCATCTCTACTAAAATTACAAAAATTAGCTGGGCGTGGTGGCAGGTGCCTGTAATCCCAGCTACTCAGGAGGCGGACACAGGAGAATCACTTGAACCTGGGAGGTGGAGGTTGCAGTGAGCCAAGATTGCGCTATTGCCCTCAAGCCTGGGCAACAGAGTGAGACTCTGTCCAGCCCCCCCAAAAAAATTTAAAAAATACTGTTGGGAGTTCTGCTAAGCTGGGAGAGAGAGCTGAGCTGTCAGGTGTCAGAGTAGCCCATCACAGCAAGAATGAGCCAAAAAAAAAAAAGTAACAGTGCAGCCTTTAATCACTTGCTATAACAGTGTTAATATAAACAGGAGGCTAAAGCCAGAGAAGCCGCTGGCTCTCCTGTTTCATTTTCCCCATGAAACAGTGCACCGTTCAAGGGTCAGGTGGATCCGTGCAGATGTGGCGGACATTGCACTGTTGAGGGAGCCCCCAACCAAAGGCTCCAGCAGTTTTATGGACCCTGGGGTCGGGGTGTGGGGTAGAGTGGAAAAATCCTGGGTGCTGATTCAGAGTGGGGAAGCATGTCTTCAGGGTTCGCCCTCCTCCCCCTGGTAAAGAGGCCTCGGAAGAGGCACCTGAAAAAAAACCTCAGCCGAAGGCCTCAGAGAAAGAGATTTAGGAATGAAGACACTGGGCTAGGAATGCAAATATGTGAAGAGCATAGCATAGCAGGGCTGAGTCCTTAACTCCCCTCAGAGCCTCCTGTGTGCTGGCTGGGCACCAGGTCTGGTGTGGGGAGGGGAGCTTCCCCAGGAGGGCTGCCAGGTCAAGCCTCTGCCATTGCTTGCAGTCAGACCTGAAAAATCACACATAGGTGTTTGACCAGGAGCCAGACTCGTCAAATACATACACCCCACAATGGAGCAGGTGCGCCAGAATGTTATCCGTGGTTTCTCTTGGTCAGGGCCGTCCAACAGACATGTGATGTGAGTCATATATATGATTTTACGGTTTTTAGTAGCTTCTGAAAACAGTAAAAAGGAACAGGTCAAATTAATTTTAATAATATATTTGTTGGCTGGATGGGTGCAGTGACTCACACCTGTAATCCCAGCACTTTGGGAGGCCGAGGACGGGTGAATCATCTGAGGTCAGGAGTTTGAGACCGCGTGACCAACGTGGCGAAACCCTGTCTCTACTAAAGATACAAAAATTAGCTGGGTGTGGTGGCGGATGCCTGTAATCCCAGCTACTCGGGAGTCTGAGGTAGGAGAATTGCTTGAACCTGGGAGGCAGATGTTGCAGTGAGCCAAGATCATGCCACTGGACTCTAAAAAAAAAAAAAAATTATGTATTGTCCAATATATCCAGAATGTTATCATCTCAGGCATGTAATGAGTATTTTTGAAAGTATTAATGAGATATTTTACATTTTTTGAACTAAATCTTCCACTCCGGTGTATATTTTATACTTACAGTGCATCTCCGTTCAGATCAGCCGCATTTCCAATGCTCGGGAGCAGCGCATGCTTACTTGCTACCGTGTCAGAGGCGGCACTGGGCTAGGCGATGGGTGGGCTTATGAATTCTTAAAACATATATTTCCACGTTTTCTACCATAAATGTGCATTTTACATTTTATTTAGAAAATTATAGTCTATAAATATAATCTTATCTAGGTTTTGTTTATTTTCTATTTTATTTTAGTAGAAATTTCCTCTTTAAAATCCGGGCTTTGTCTGCATCTGTGGTGGTCTAAGAATAAAAGGGGCTACTTCCTTTTTGAGAGAGTGAGCCCAGAAAGCATCGACTGGGCAAGGACTACACTCGGCTCAACTTTGGAACCTCAGGAAGAGGTCCTCGTGGTGGCAGACAGAGGGGACTGCACCAGGGTGGACACCTGGGTGGGAACCTGGGCGGGCCGAGGCCTCCTCTCTGCCTGGTGCGGCTTCCTGCATAGGTCTGACCACCACTCAGACCAAAGCCACCCCGCCCCAGAACTGGGGTCTGACCAGACATCTCTCACTGGCCCCCACTTACAAATATGCAACTCTTTCTTAGCAGCTGCATGTCTTCAAGGAATGATGGGACACTATGTTTAAGCTCCAGAAATCGAAGCAGGACTCAAAGAAGCAGGCCAGTTCTGCTCTGCCCCCAAAGGTGAGTGCTTACTCTTTACTGCTGCATTTTGGAACAGTAAAAAAATAATCGTTTACAGCAGAGCATCAGAGAATGCACAGTCCAAGGCTTATAGGAAATACTTGCAGGTTGGTTAGCTGGTTGGCTAGTTGGTTGGTTGGGAAACATCTGCTGTGGGAAGGTAGAAGAGAATTGGCCCTGTGGCTAGAGACAGCTTGGAAATGGAAAGAACCCTGAACTGGGCTCAGGACCAGGTCCCCTGACCTCTCTATGTGACCTTGAGCAATGCACTTCCCTACCTGGGACGTCATGTTCCTCCACAGACAGGGGATTAAATAGGTATCACGAGATAACTTCTGAGACCCATTGCGGTGAAAGCATTTTGTGATTTTTGCCTCTGGAGGAAGTATTGAAAAGTCAGACAGTCCAAAGATGAATTTTAAAATGACTTCCAAGTCTGATTCCTGGGACAGTTGGGGCCAGAAGAGGAGAACAACCTGCATTTACCATTAGGACCAACATGAAGTGGAAAAGAACTGCCCCAGAGCCAGGGACCTGAGTAGGCAGGACTCGATGAGAACCGCCTGGGCAGACAGCATCAGCAGACACAATACTGCTGATTTTTTTTTCCCAATGGAAAAGTCCTTTTTGTCTGAGGCAATGTTTTCCACAGCTCTAGGGGACTGTGGTCATTTCCTAACAAGATTTTTCCTATTTTGTGCAGCTGGGGTCTGGCATTGGAAACACTGAGTGTTTTCAGGCTGAAACTCACTTAGGTCCTCCAGGGCCAAAGGCTGCTGGGTAAATTCAGGGTTTGGTGCAATCTGTGCTATAGTCTCTGCCCCTCAAACCATGGGGCACTGCCCTTTTCTTTAATACTTTGGAATTATAGCATTAGATACATAAAATTACAAAATATCAGAGCTGTAAAGACTTTGAGAGGCCACCTAGTCTATTCTTCTTCTAGAGAAGGGGAAACTGAAGCCCAGAAAAGGAGAGGAACTGACTCCAAGCCACACGTTCAATTAGAGAGAAGCCCACCCTCCTGACTCTTGATCCAGGTCCTCTGGACTCTCAGCCAACACCTGTCCACTGCACTTCCTCCTTTGGGGATGTGGGGAGTGAGGTGACCAGGAGAAGGTCACTTAGAAGGTCACTTAGAAGGTCAGTTAGAAGAGAAACTAACTGGCTATGAATGATTTCATATGTTTCAACCTTACGCCTCTACCTCCTGGTTACCTGATGATACCTCTCTCTCTATTTCCTGATTACTCCTCCTGGTTACCTGATGATACCTCTCTCTCTGTTTCCTGATTACTCCATCCTTGTTCTTTGGCTTTCAGTGTTTATTAGAGATAATAGATGGACTACATGCACACACAGGTTCATTCCATTGACGTTCACCAAGAGCCTTCCACTGCTGAGGATGCAAGATGAGTAAGTTACAGGTCCACTGTAGCCTGGGAGAGTCACTTTCCCTGTCCGAAGCAGTGAGCATAGCAGAGTCCAACTAAAGCACTGCTCAGGTGGCACAGAGAAGGGGTTTGCTCTGTCTAGCGCAGATCGGGGATTGCAGAAGAAGATTGATTGGCAAACAGAGATCTAACTATACATAATCGATGCCGATATTTTGCTTATTTGGTAAAGGAGTTGAAATCAATTTCTAGCATATGGGTAGGTGTTTGTATTTAATTTATCATGACCATCAGGCAAGGGCCATGAGAAACAGGGTCTCCCCTGGATTCAGCCTCATATGGTTCTGCCTCAGGTGGCAATTTCACAGCGCCTTTCTCTACTTCATCTTTTCTGGTATTAGCTTACACTGCTGACTAAATGCACCTGGCCTGTTCATAGCCTAAAAGCCTCTGCCAAAGTCTTTCTCATCCCACTGAAGACACAGCCTTCGGGAAGGGACAGCAGGCTAAGCCAAGCTGAGCCTGTGCCTGTGCCTTTGTCACATTCTGGAGCCACAATGGGACTAGGGACTCCCTTTCCACCGGGAGGCTGGGAGAGAGTACGATGGGAGTCAATCTTCCAGGTCTCTTTGAAAAGAAAGTCAGTTTGAAAATGTCGAACACCTGGCTCAGTTAGACCTTTCTCCAGGTTGTCATTTACTTAGAAAAGGAGCACTATTCAAGCCTTAAATGTCAGCTTCTTGCCTCTAAAACTGTGGGATCGGGTAAACCCCTGGGCACTTCAGCCTGTACTCCTATACCAAGGGCTGGGCTCCCTGGCTGTTAGTGGAGGGCAGCAGACACCCTGCCCAGGAATCCTATACCAAGGGCTGGGCTCCCTGGCTGTTAGTGGAGGGCAGCAGACACCCCGCCCAGGAGTCAGCCCCAGGGAAATGTCCACTAGGTACCAAAGATTCTGGGATTTCGGTTTGTCTGTGAGTTTCATGCATCTCATTCCTGAGGGCAGTTCCTAAATCTTTACCCTTGTATGTTTGAAAGATGACAACTCTTTAAAAACACGACTAGACCTGAGCTTTAAGTCCCAAGCTTGGGTCCCTTTACCTGGCAGCTCTTCCTATATCCAGCCAGCCGCCTTCTATGAGCTAATCCCTGTCTTGGCTCCTGCCTGTGCACTGCCTTCCCCATCCCTGTGAGGCACCATATGCTTAATGATACCCTCTAAAGAGGACGAATCTCCCTTAGCTGTCCTCTAACATTTGGAATGTACTGTCCCCTCTACAGTGTTAAAAACCAAAACAAAACAAAATAAATTAAGCTCTAATGCAGCTGGAGAGCTAATGGACCTCTCTTTCCCAGGAAAAGGAAAACAAAGATTCCAACCATTTGCAGCTCCTGAAAAATTCCGCCGACAGATGATCAGCCTCATTCCAGGCTAACTAACTGCTAACGAGCTTGAATTCGCCTATTCAGGGAATGTCCTTTGTTCACTTCTCTGCTACCTGAATTGTCTTCCCACTCTGCCTTCAGACACACTGAGCCAGAAGTTCAGCTCGGGTGCAAGAGATGGCAAAATGTGAGCCTCGAATCATCAGAGATCACCACAGTGCTGTCTTGAAATTCAAGGCAATATGAGTGTGTTACTGGGCTCAGTATCAGCCGGTATTACGAGAAACACTGGGGCATTTCCAGTGCAGATTATTTTAAATGGGAGAGTTCTTTTTTACTGTCACTTCTCCATTCTGGTCATAGAATGATTATTGACCATTATTGGGCCCTAACCATATTCACAAAACGTGGCTCTCACCCAGTATTTCCACATTATTGCTCTAGATTGCTTTAAATGGAATATACACACAGTAATGAGTCAGTTTTAGTGGAAGAGGCTTATCCTCAAGCCTTACATAACTGCACTGTAGTCTTGACTTTGTTCCTGTCCAGCTACTGGGCTGAAGACAGACAAAACAAGTCAGCCAACTCAGTTTAACACCTCCCTCGACCGTGCCTCCCCTTGCCCCGACACACGCCAGATTAACACTCTTCTCAGGCATCATTCAGAACAACGGCTCTCAATTCTGGCTGCAAACAGAATCATCAGGGAGCTTTTTAAAAACAAAAGAAAAAAAATCAATACCCAGGCCCTACTCCAAATCAATTAAAATAGATTTTGGGGGGATGGGCCTCAGGCATGGGAATTTTTATAAAGCTGCCGTGTTTATACCGACGTGCGCCATAAATGGGAATCTCTGTTTTAAACTTGACCAAAATTAATGATTAGAGGTTTTGCTTGCACACCAAGCAGGCAAATTTAATATTTAATATTTATATAAAACTTAAGATCATCACTCTTGGAATCAAATAAAACCAACAGAAAGGTACAACTATATAGTGCAACCAAGTTGCACAGGAAGAGAACAAAAATAGAGATACTTGCTCTTTTTTTTTTTTTTGAGATGGAGTCTTGCTCTGTCACCAGGCTGGAGTGCAGTGATACGATCTTGGCTCACTGCAACCTCCACCTGCCAGGTTCAAGGGATTCTCCTGCCTCAGCCTCTCTAGTAGCTGGGACTACAGGTACGCACCACCACACCTGGCTAATTTTTGTATTTTTAGTAGAGACAGGGTTTCACCATGTTGGCCAGGATGGTCTCGATCTCCTGACCTCGTGATCTGCCAGCCTCAGCCTCCCAAAGTGCTGGGATTACAGGCATGAGCCACTGCGCCCAGCCAAGATACTTGTTCTAATGCCACCTAACTTGGCCAGATCTTTGGAGGCCCTAAAGCAATAACATAGACAAACAACTTTGGACAAATAAGTTTCCACCGAGTATGCACAGATTAAGACTTTAACTCAGGGATGAGGGAGGTCACAATAATGAGCAGGATCCCAAGGTGTCTGGCTTTGGCAGCCAGTTCTCCCCAGACTGCGTCTTGCTTCATATGTGCCCTTTAGATAAGAGGGCCTAACAGGCTAATGGGAGCCTAATGGTAAGTGGGGCTAGACTCAGACTAGAAATTTGGCAGGACGATGCCCCGGGATCTAGGCTGTTCCATTACTATTCCCAAAAGGGGAACAATGCTGAATAGAGATCTGAAGTAGAATCAGCCTGTCCCTGGGACAGGGTAAGGGGAGAGGTGGGGAGTGAGAGGGCTCAAGACAAATGATGATACACCTTGTTCAGATCTCCTCTTCAAGGTCTCTGCAGACAGAAAAGTGCCATTCTCGGCAGCCCCCGGGACAGTTCCACGTCAGGCTCATCCCTCCCTGTACCCACCATGGCCTAAAACGCAGGTTTGACTGTACTAGGAATCAGGGATGTTTGCACTCAGCTACAGTATATCTCCATAGCCATGTGTCAGTGACTTCAGCGTTCCAAAAACCTGGAAAGAAATCTGCTGTCCAAACAAATCCGAAATATTTGCAAGTCAAAAAAAAAAAAGACAACACCTGGGTCTGTTTGCTATAGGAGAGAAAGTGAGCTGTAAATGTAATTAGAAGGAGATATCTCCTGCATTCTTTGTTTTTTTTAATTTTATTATTATTATACTTTAAGTTTTAGGGTACATGTGCACAACGTGCAGGTTAGTTACATATGTATACATGTGCCATGTTGGTGTGCTGCACCCATTAACTCCTCATTTAGCATTAGGTATATCTCCTAATGCTATCCCTCCCCTCTCCCCCCACCCCACAACAGTCCCTGGTATGTGATGTTCCCCTTCCTGTGTCCATGTGTTCTCATTGTTCAATTCCCACCTATGAGTGAGAACATGAGGTGTTTGGTTTTTCGTCCTTGCGATAGTTTGCTGAGAATGATGGTTTCCAGTTTCATCCATGCCCCTAAAAAGGACATGAACTCATCATTTTTTATGGCTGCATAGTGTTCCATGGTGTATATGTGCCACATTTTCTTAATCCAGTCTATCGTTGTTGGACATTTAGGTTGGCTCCAAGTCTTTGCTATTGTGAATAGTGCCGTAATAAACATACGTGTGCATGTGTCTTTATAGCAGCATGATTTATAATCCTTTGGGTATATACCCAGTAATGGGATGGCTGGGTCAAATGGTATTTCTAGTTCTAGATCCCTGAGGAATCGCCACACTGACTTCCACAATGGTTGAACTAGTTTACAGTCCCACCAACAGTGTAAAAGTATTCCTATTTCTCCACATCCTCTCCAGCACCTGTTGTTTCCTGACATTTTAATGATCACCATTCTAACTGGTGTGAGATGGTATCTCATTGTGGTTTTGATTTGCATTTCTCTGATGGCCAGTAATGATGAGCACTTTTTCGTGTGTTTTTTGGCTGCATAAATGTCTTCTTTTGAGAAGTGTCTGTTCATATCCTTTGCCCACTTTTTGATGGGGTTGTTTTTTTTTTCTTGTAAATTTGTTTGAGTTCATTGTAGATTCTGGATATTAGCCCTTTGTCAGATGAGTAGGTTGCAAAAATTTTCTCCCATTCTGTAGGTTGCCTATTCACTCTGATGGTAGTTTCTTTTGCTGTGCAGAAGTTCTTTAGTTTAATTAGATCCCATTTGTCAATTTTGGCTTTTGTTGCCATTGCTTTTGGTGTTTTAGACATGAAGTCCTTGCCCATGCCTGTGTCCTGAATGGTATTGCCTAGGTTTTCTTCTAGGGTTTTTATGGTTTTAGTTTTAACATTTAAGTCTTTAATCCATCTTGAATTAATTTTTGTATAAGGTGTAAGGAAGCGATCCAGTTTCAGCTTTCTACACATGGCTAGCCAGTTTTCCCAGCACCATTTATTAAATAGGGAATCCTTTCCCCATTGCTTGTTTTTCTCAGGTTTGTCAAATATCAGATAGTTGTAGATATGTGACATTATTTCTGAGGGCTCTGTTCTGTTCCATTGGTCTATATCTCTGTTTTGGTACCAGTACCATGCTGTTTTGGTTACTGTAGCCTTGTAGTATAGTTTGAAGTCAGGTAGCATGATGCTTCCAGCTTTGTTCTTTTGGCTTAGGATCGACTTGGCAATGCGGGCTCTTTTTTGGTTCCATATGAACTTTAAAGTAGTTTTTTCCAATTCTGTGAAGAAAGTCATTGGTAGCTTGATGGGGATGGCATTGAATCTATAAATTACCTTGGGCACTATAGCCATTTTCACGATATTGATTCTTCCTACCCATGAGCATGGAATGTTCTTCCATTTGTTTGTATCCTCTTTTATTTCATTGAGCAGTGGTTTGTAGTTCTCCTTGAAGAGGTCCTTCACATCCCTTCTAAGTTGGATTCCTAGGTATTTTATTCTCTTTGAAGCAATTGTGAATGGGAGTTCACTCATGATTTGGCTCTCTGTTTGTTATTGGTGTATAAGAATGCTTGTGATTTTTGTATGTTGATTTTTGTATCCTGAGACTTTGCTGAAGTTGCTTATCAGCTGGAGGAGATTTGGGGCTGAGACAGTGGGGTTTTCTAGATATACAATCATGTCATCTGCAAACAGGGACAATTTGACTTCCTCTTTTCCTAATTGAATACCCTTCATTTCCTTCTCCTGCCTGATTGCCCTGGCCAGAACTTCCAACACTATGTTGAATAGGAGTGGTGAGAGAGGGCATCCCTGTCTTGTGCCCATTTTCAAAGGGAATGCTTCCAGTTTTTGCCCATTCAGTATGATGTTGGCTGTGGGTTTGTCATAGATAGCTCTTATTATTTTGAGATATGTCCCATCAATACCTAATTTATTGAGAGTTTTTTGCATGAAGGGTTGTTGAATTTTGTCAAAGGCCTTTTCTGCATCTATTGAGATAATCATGTGGTTTTTGTCTTTGGTTCTGTTTATATGCTGGATTACATTTATTGATTTGCATATATTGAACCAGCCTTGCATCCCAGGGATGAAGCCCACTTGATCATGGTGGATAAGCTTTTTGATGTGCTGCTGGATTTGGTTTGCCAGTATTTTATTGAGGATTCTTGCATCGATGTTCATCAAGGATATTGGTCTAAAATTCTCTTTTTTGGTTGTGTCTCTGCCAGGCTTTGTTATCAGGATGATGCTGGCCTCATAAAATGAGTTAGGGTGGATTCCCTCTTTTTATATTGATTGGAATAGTTTCAGAAGGAATGGTACCAGCTCCTCTTTGTACCTGTGGTAGAATTCGGCTGTGAATCCATCTGGTCCCGGACTTATTTTGGTTGGTAAGCTATTGATTATTGCCTCAATTTCAGATCCTGTTATTGGTCTATTCAGAGACTCAATTTCTTCCTGGTTTAGTCTTGGGAGGGTGTATGTGTTGAAGAATTTATCCATTTCTTCTAGATTTTCTAGTTTATTTGTGTAGAGGTGTTTATAATATTCTCTGATGGTAGTTTGTATTTCTGTGGGATCGGTGGTGATATCCCCTTTATCATTTTTTATTGCGTCTATTTGATTCTTCTCTATTTTCTTCTTTATTAGTCTTGCTAGCGGTCTATCAATTTTGTTGATCTTTCAAAAAACCAGCTCGTGGATTCATTAATTTTTTGAAGGGTTTTTTGTGTCTCTATTTCCTTCAGTTCTGCTCTGATCTTAGTTATTTCTTGCCTTCTGCTAGCTTTTGAATGCGTTTGCTCTTGCTTTTCTAGTTCTTTTAATTGTGATATTAGGGTGTCAATTTTAGATCTTTCCTGCTTTCTCTTGTGGGCATTTAGTGCTATATATTTCCCTCTACACACTGCTTTGAATGTTTCCCAGAGATTCTGGTATGTTGTGTCTTTGTTCTCGTTGGTTTCAAAGAACATCTTTATTTCTGCCTTCATTTCATTATTTACCCAGTAGTCATTCAGAAGCAGGTTGTTCAGTTTCCTTGTAGTTGAGCGGTTTTGAGTGAGTTTCTTAATCCTGAGTTCTAGTTTGATTGCACTGTGGTCTGAGAGACAGTTTGTTATAATATACATTTGCTGAGGAGTGCTTTACTTCCAACTATGTGGTCAATTTTGGAGTAGGTGTGGTGTGGTGCTGAAAAGAATGTATATTCTGTTGATTTGGGATGGAGAGTTCTGTAGATGTCTATTAGGCCCGCTTGGTGCAGAGCTGAGTTCAATTCCTGGGTATCCTTGTTAATTTTCTGTCTCATTGATCTGTCTAATGTTGACAGTAGGGTGTTAAAGTCTCCCATTATTATTGTGTGGGAGTCTAAGTCTCTTTGTAGGTCACTAAGGACTTGCTTTATGAATCTGGGTGCTCCTGTATTGGGTGCATATATATTTAGGATAGTTAGCTCTTCTTGTTGAATTGATCCTTTACCATTATGTAATGGCCTTCTTTATCTCTTTTTATCTTTGTTGGTTTAAAGTCTGTTTTATCAGAGACTAGGTTGCAACCCCTGCCTTTTTTTTGTTTTCCATTTGCTTGGTAGATCTTCCTCCATCGCTTTATTTTGAGCCTATGTGTGTCCCTGCAGGTGAGATGTGTTTCCTGAATACAGCACACTGATGGGTCTTGACTCTTTATCCAATTTGCCAGTCTGTGTCTTTTAATTGGAGCATTTAGGCCATTTACATTTAAAGTTAATATTGTTATGTGTGAATTTGATCCTGTCATTATGATGTTAGCTGGTTATTTTGCTCGTTAGTTGATGCAGTTTCTTCCTAGCCTTGATGGTCTTTACAATTTGGCATGTTTTTGCAGTGGCTGGTATGGGTTGTTCCTTTCCATGTTTAGTGCTTCCTTCAGGAGCTCTTTTAGGGCAGGCCTGGTGGTGACAAAATCTCTCAGCATTTGCTTGTCTGTAAAGTATTTTATTTCTCCTTCACTTATGAAGCTTAGTTTGGCTGGATGTGAAATTCTGGGTTGAAAATTCTTTTCTTTAAGAATGTTGAATATTGGTCCCCACTCTCTTCTGGCTTGTAGAGTTCCTGCCAAGAGATCAGCTGTTAGTCTGATGGGCTTCCCTTTGTGGGTAGCCCAACCTTTCTCCCTGGCTTCCCTTAACATTTTTTCCTTCATTTCAACTTTGGTGAATCTGACAATTATGTGTCTTGGAGTTGCTCTTCTCGAGGAGTATCTTTGTGGCGTTCTCTGTATTTCCTGAATCTGAATGTTGGTCTGCCTTGCTAGATTGGGGAAGTTCTCCTGGATAATATCCTGCAGGGTATTTTCCAACTTGGTTCCATTCTCCCCGTCACTTTCAGGTACACCAATCAGACGTAGATTTGGTCTTTTCACATAGTCCCATATTTCTTGGCGGCTTTGTTCGTTTCTTTTTATTCTTTTTTCTCTAAACTTCTCTTCTTGCTTCATTTCATTCATTTTGTCTTCCATCACTGATACCCTTTCTTCCAGTTGATCGCATCGGCTACTGAGGCTTCTGCATTTGTCATGTAGCTCTCGTGCCTTGGTTTTCAGCTCCATCAGGTCCTTTAAGGACTTCTCTGCATTGGTCATTCTAGTTATCCATTTGTCTAATTTTTTTTTTCAAAGCTTTTAACTTCTTTGCCATAGGTTCAAATTTCCTCCTGTAGCTCGGAGTAGCTTGATCATCTGAAGCCTTCTTCTCTCAACTCATCAAAGTCATTCTCCGTCCAGATTTGTTCCGTTGCTGGTGAGGAGCTGCGTTCCTTTGGAGGAGGAAAGGCGCTCTGATTTTTAGAGTTTCCAGTTTTTCTGCTGTGTTTTTTCCCCATCTTTGTGGTTTTATCTACCTTTGGTCTTTGATGATGGTGATGTACAGATGGGGTTTTGGTGTGGATGTGCTTTCTGTTTGTTAGTTTTCCTTCTAACAAACAGGACCCTCAGCTGCAGGTCTGTTGGAGTTTGCTAGAGGTCCACTCCAGACTCTGTTTGCCTGGGTATCAGCAGCGGTGGCTGCAGAACAGTGGATTTTGGTGAGCCACAAATGCTGCTGCCTGATTGTTCCTCCGGAAGTTTTGTCTCAGAGGAGTACCCGGCCGTGTGAGGTGTCAGTCCGCCCCTACTGGGGGTTGCCTCCCAGTTAGGCTACTCGGGGGTCAAAGACCCACTTGAGGAGGCAGTCTGCCCGTTCTCAGATCTCAAGCTGCATGCTGGGAGAACCACTACTCTCTTCAAAGCTGTCAGAGAGGGACATTTAAGTCTGCAGAGGTTACTGCTGTCTTTTTGTTTGTCTGTGCCCTGCCCCCAGAGGTGGAGCCTACAGAGGCAGGCAAGCCTCCTTGAGCTGTGATGGGCTCCACCCAGATGGAGCTTCCCAGCCGCTTTGTTTACCTAATCAAACAACTAACTGGGCAATGGCGGGCGCCCCTCCCCCAGCCTTGCTGCCGCCTTGCAGTTTGATCTCGGACTGCTGTGCTAGCAATGAGCGAGACTCCATGGGCGTAGGACCTTCGGAGCCATGTGCGGGATATAATCTCCTGGTGTGCTGTTTTTTAAGCCTGTTGGAAAAGCGCAGTATTAGGGTGGGAGTGACCCGATTTTCCAGATGCTGTCTGTCACCCCTTTCTTTGACTACGAAAGGGAATTCCCTGACCCCTTGTGCTTCCTGGGTGAGGCGATGCCTCGCCCTGCTTTGGCTCGCACATGGTGCGCTGCACCCACTGTCCTGCACGTACTGTCTGGCGCTTCCCAGTGAGATGAACCCGGTACCTTAGTTGGAAATGCAGAAATCACCCGTCTTCTGTGTCGCTCACGCTGGGAGCTGTAGACCGGAGCTGTTCCTATTCAGCCATTCCTGCATTCTTTTAAAGCAATGAAGGTGTTGTAAGGATTGCAAATCAGACATCTCTATAAGAAGGACCATTTGGGGACACATGAATTTGGCAAACAAATTCAGGAAAGAAGGCTCTGCCTCAGCAGGGAAGGTGCAGACCTGTGGCAGCCAGGATGTCTCTTCTGGAGCATGGTTGGTGGGTCATGTCCAGTTACTATGCTGCCCTCAGGATTGGCCTAAGGTGTGAGTTTAGGAGGCGAGGGATATGGTGTGGTAGGATGACATTTTTGAGATGGACACTTCAGGTTGTCATGGAATCCGCAAGAACAAGATACCACAGTCTCCTGTGGTCTCAATATCAGTGTGAGGAGGTTGCGTCCTGGGCCTAATCTCAGCTGTCCCCATCCCGAGTACTGTCGTTAAACCATTGGCTTTTATTTTGGGTGCCCTCAATGGAGAGAATGAAGAATGGATCATGACCAGTTCCCACGTTCCAACAGCCTTAGCTCCACCAGAAACATGCCAAACTGGAAACTGGTTTGTCATGGGGATTGACAAAATGCTGATCAAACCCACAAGAGATGGCAAGATTATTCAATATAGACACTAGAGAGTTAGCATTGGAAGGACTCACTGGCCTTATAGAGGGGACCGTGAGCCAAGGGAAGCGACTTTCTCCATGTCACACACTAGTTAATGCCAAAGGTAGAATGAGAACCCAGAAACCCCAACTCTCAAATCAGTGCGCTTTCTACCACCCTTTGCTGTCAAATCTCAATGAGAACAAGAATGTGTGTATAAGATGTTCAATATATTCTCTTTTCAGAAAAGAAGGCTACTTGGGGAAATAACATCACTAATAGAAAGTTTTTGGAATGTGTAGAGGGCCAGTCCAGGGTATGTGCTGGAGAGAAATAGGTGAAGCTAAAATCAGAGTTGCAAGGAGCCACGCTGGGAAATCAACCCAGAGAGACACTTTGCTCCCCACAGTGGGAGTATAGAAGACTAGAACAGCTGGGACAGTCAATAGCTCCATGGATGGTCAAGGAAGGAAAGAAGTGGGGCTCCAAGAGGAACCTATGTCCCTGAATTAGACGTGTACTCTTCTGAGAAAGGACAGAGAAACCAACAGAGGGAAAAGTTAATCCCTGCTTAACTGTTCTTTGTTCCTGGACACAAGCTGAAGCAAGTAAGAAGAATTTCCATCCCACAACCCCCAGTGAGAAAGGGCTGGTCAGTTGATCCATTTAACCTACTGCCAGCCCGGAGAGGAGACCCGCAGGGAATTAAAGGGACACTGCCATTTTATGGGGCAAAAACCCCAGCTGCCAGAATGAAGCTGCAATTGTGTGGGTTCCCAGGTCAGTCCTGTGCCACCGTTGGGAGGAAAGATTCCCTTGATGCCAGACATGAGGCAGAGTTCCCAGGGGCTGTGGGTAGGATATGGCTGCTCCCTCCCTGACTCTCCAGAAAATTATAAGCAGGGAAACTTGAACTTGGGTCTTGAATACGCTCATTTTGTGTATCAGTGTAACCTGAGCACCTAGCAACCGCCAGGGCTTGGTGTCTGGTGACTTCCCCTTCAGCAGCTCTGCAGACTGCCAGAAAGAGCTGACTGCTCCAAGCCCAAGCCAAGCTTCCCTCTAGTTTAAATCAAAGAAAAATGGAGGGTGCCGAGAATGTAATGGGATAAAGGTCAACCCCAGGGCATAGCCCTCCACTCAACACGAGAACCAGAGTCATGTTTGACGAAATTCCCAAAAGACATTCTTCGGAACAAAGAAAATGAGCTAAGAAGATTTCTTAGAAAAGGATGCGTTTTATGTCAAAACAAGGGTGAGACCAGGTGCAGTGGCTCACACCTATAATCCCAGCACTTTGGGAGCCCAAGGCTGGTGGATCACCTGAGGTCAGGAGTTTGAAACCAACCTGGCCAACATGGTGAAACCCTGCCTCTCCTGAAAATACAAAAATTAGCTGGGCCTGGTGGGGCACACCTGTAATTCCAGCTACTCAGGGGCAGAGGCAGGAGAATTGCTTGAACCCAGGAGGTGGAGGTTGCAGTGAGCCAAGATCACACTACTGCACTCCAGCCTGGGCGACAGAGTGAGACTGTCTCAAAAAAAAAGAAAGAAAAAAGCCAGAGTGAGCTAGAGGTTACTGAAGTGGAGCACCAGGGAGCTGCCCAGGAGCCAAACAGTGCCCAGACCCTGGGGAGCCATCTGCCCCCACAGAGGGGGTGGGGGTCAACTCCCTGGTGACATCCTCTACTGAGGTTCCTTCCCCACCTCTTCACAGGGCAGGCTTCGGGCCCATTAGTTGCATTATAGAGACCGGGAATGGAAAACCAAATCTCTCCCTGTGTCCTTCATTCTGGCCTCTGTGCTGGGAAAAGCTCTTCCCACAACACCCTCTGTTCATTCCCAGATCCTGAACAACAGAGTTGAGAAGCAAGATTACGAAAAGGCACAGTTACCCCCTCACGGACTATCTGAGGCTGGACTTGAGCAGTTCTAGAGGCCCACACAAAGAGAGGACTAGCAGATAAAAGGACACGGTGCCGGCACGCCCACCACTGAGGAAGCAGTAGCAGGCACCAGTTTCTTTCCAAACACATCCTGGGTTGGAGAGGACTTGGTGGTGGCCCGAAGCCGTGAAGCTCTGCCCGAGGAGCTCCCAGAGCCCTCTGGGGATCGCACCTCGCTACCCGTCAGAGTGATGTATCGAGTATCCACTCTGTGCCTCCACAGGCAGGCCTCGGGAGGAAGCACAGTCCATGGGTACAGAATTACCTTCTCATGGGAAAATAGACAGTCAGTCAAAAATTACAGGCGCAGCGAGTGTTGTGAAGGAGGCGTGAGGGAGCAATGGGGGCGGCTCATGGAGCACTGAGGGTCTGGAAAGGCCTCCCCAAGGAAGTGACATAAACCCGAGACCTGAGGATGTAAGGGAATTAGACAAACAAATAGGGGAGATCGTGCGGACTTTGAATTGTCCCTCAAAGTCCATCTCCTCGGGCCAGGCATGGTGGCTCAAGCCTGTAATCCCAGCACTTTGGGAGGCCAAGGCGGGTAGATCACCTGAGATCAGGAGTTGGAGACCAGCCTGGCCAACATGGTGAAACACCGTCTGTACTAAAAATACAAAAATCAGCCAGGCGTGGTGGCAGTCGCCTATAATCCCAGCTACTCAGGAGGCTGAGGCAGAAGAATGCTTGAACCCAGGAGGTGGAGGTTGCAGTGAGCTGAGATCGCGCCACTGCACTCCAGCCTGGGCGACAGAGTGAGACTCCATCTAAAAAAAAAAAAAGTCCATTTCCTCTTCTTTCATAATCACAGAATTTTTAGTTGAGTATAGGCTTCCCAGAAAACAGCTGCATTTCCCAGCCTCTCTTAGAGGTGGATGTGACGCTGGACCCTAACAGGAAGAGGGAGGAAGCGTGTAGACAGTGCTGGGTTATGTGGACAGGGTTGCCCTCCCTCGGCCCCCCGCCCCTTCTGCTGGCTGGCATGTGGTCCTGGCAGGGAGCCATCTTGGAGCAGGCTAAGGAAGCCAGTAAGACAGAAGAAGCGGGGCTCTGATGACCTCACAGGCCAGAGCAGCCACACCAGCGTGGGGCTTCATGTGAGAGAAAAATAAATTCTATTTCGTTTAAGCCATTATTATTTTGGTCTCTGTTACAGAAACCAAAGCAGTGTCCTGACTAATACACAGTCTGAGGGAACAGCAAAGTGCTCCTGCAAATCTTCTTAACCGCATTTCATCTTCCCAAGAACCCAGTACGGAGGAGATTATTATCATTATTTTAGTGTTACAGAAACTGATGCTGAGAGGGATCGTTGTCTTGTCCAAGGTCACACAGTGGCAGAGCCCGGGACTCAGAACTCAAGGCTTCTTCATGCCAATCCAGGAGCATCCACGATGCTACGCCGCCTCCATTTCTCTAGGCTGGGTTTGGTTGCTTCCTCCGTTAGTGAGGTGAGTTTTTACCAAACCATCCACACTCTTTTTTTTTTTTTTTTTTGAGACGGAGTTTCGCTCTTGTTGCCCAGGCTGGAGTAGTGCAATGGCACGATCTTGGTTCACCGCAACCTCCGCCTCCCGGGTTCAAGAAATTCTCCTGCCTCAGCTTCCCGAGTAGCTGGGATTACAGGCGCGCACCACCACACCTGGCTAATTTTGTATTTTTAGTAGAGATGAGGTTTCTCCATGTTGGTCAGGCTGGTCTTGAACTCCCAACCTCAAGTGATCCGCCCGCCTCAGCCTCCCAAAGTGCTGGGATTACAGGAGTGAGCCACCGCACCCGGCCTCCATCCACACTCTTAACTTGATCCGCCACCCCCATGCCAGTCCACTCAGTGACACATGGTCCTAATGGCACATGCACCACGGACAGGAGGCTAATTTCCTGCATGAAGTGATGATTTAGGGGCAGGGATACAAGACGACTGGCACTTTCTCAGAAAATAGCTTACTTTTTTTTTTTTTTTTTAGCGAAGTCTCGTTCTTGTCCCCCAGGCTGGAGTGCAATGGCACGATGGTGCAATCTCGGCTCACTGCAACCTCCGCCTCCTGGGTTCAAATGATTCTCCTGCCTCAGCCTCCCAAGTAGCTGGGATTATAGGCGCCCGCCACCACACCCAGCTAATTTTTGTATTTTTAGTAGAGACAGGGTTTCACCATGTTGGCCAGGCTTATCTCGAACTCCTGACCTCAGTTGATCCGCCCACCTCGTAGGATTACAGGTGTGAGCCACCCCGCCCGGCCAATATTTTACACTTTATTCTAAAGGTAGTGTTTGGAAGAGTCCCATTCTCCCCCGTTCCCACCCCACCCCTGCCACTTTACCAGCCCCACTTTGTGCAAAGGATGCAGGAATTCTTGAAGACACCAGCACTCGGAGAGCCCTGGGGGCCGCAGCTCCTTCCTTAGTGCAAGTTTCTTCTCTCCTTATTTTGAGTCTAGGCTTCTTAGCGGGAGCAGCCTGGCTCCTCTGGGATCTCCCTGGGAAGCTGTGTCAGAACAGTTCTGTGATTTTATCTTTTGTCAGCCCTTTGACCGATTGCATATGGGAAATTGCAGGCTAAGCCATGTTCACACAAATCCTTAGCCCGTGTTCTCCTACTGAGGCGCTCCTCAAGTTATGAATCACCTCTGGGGTATAGCATTTGAAAAATTAAGGTCTTAAAATATTGATTTTATTCCTCACAGCCAGGAGATAGCTTTACACATGATTTGGTTGATTGGCCCATTGTGTGGCTCAGGTGCTTGTAACTTGCAAATTTAACAGAGCCTTTTGTCTGCAGAAGACTGAAGCAGCCAGGGAGACAGTGCTGCTCACACCCGGAATCCAAGCACTTGGGGAGGCCGACTAGCCTCAAGTGATCCTCCCACCTCAGCCTCCCAAAGTGCTGGAATTACAGGTGTGAGCCACCAACCGTGCAAGCCTAATCCATTTTCTAAAGTGCTGTAAGAACAATCTTCTAAAACGCAAAAAATCTGATTATCCTGGGAGTTTGGAATTCTTTCAATGGCTCCCTCATGGCCTCATCACGGTCAAGTCCAAATTCCTTAGCAGCCCTATAAGGCCCTTCCCGATCTGGCCCCACCTCCACCGCTCCCCCTCCCTCCACTCCCTGCTCTCCCCAGGTGCTATGCAGTACCTGCAAACGGCCTGTCCTCACCCTTCGGGCTCTGCCCCTGTTGCTCCCTCCACCTAGAATGGCCTTCCTTCATCTCCTTACCCGGACAGTTTCCTCGGGACCCCGTTCAGGCGTCTTCTCTTCCAAGTGGCTTTCCTGACCATCCCACCCTGCACAGCACCCTTGTCACCCTGTCAGAGTCACCTGCGGCCTCGTGATTTCCATGTGCATCTCCTCATCTAGTCGGGGAGCACCTTCAAGGCAGGAGCTGTGTCTCATTTGTCTTGACCTAGAGTCTGGCAGCACACCTGGCACAGAGTAGGTGCTCATTCAATGTTGGTTGAAACAGTGAGGCTCTGTGGAGCCCTAGGTGTCATGGTCGTTTCCTCCCAAGATTGCTGTCACTTCTATTTCACTAAGTTTTTGTATTGATAAAATATCAGGCAAGACTAATTTAATCCCATGAAAGCAGATACTTCATTTTTTTTCTGTGGGAGTGTTAATATATTAATTCATTTAGCCATCCATTCATCCGTCAGTCACTTCATTTAACGAATATGGGCCGGGCATGGTGGCTCACGCCTGTAATCCCTGCACTCTGGGAGGCTGAGGTGGGCGGATCACTTGAGGTCAGGAGTTGGAGACCAGCCTGGCCAACGTGGTGAAACCCCGTCTCCACTAAAAAATACAAAAATTAGCCAGGCATATGGTGGGCACTTGTAATCTCAGCTACTTGGGAGGCTGAGGCAGGAGAATCACTTGAACCCAGGAGGTGGAGGTTGCAGTGAGCCAAGATCATGCCGCTGCACTCCAGCCTGGGCAACAAGAGCGAATAAATAAATAAAATGAATCTAAGTAAATAAATAAATAAGAAATGCATCCTCTAGGCCAGACCCTGTGCTAAGCATTAGGGTTATAAAGCTAAATAAAACTCAGTCCCTGTCCTCAAAGAGCTGACAGTTCATTGGGAAACAGACACGCAGACATACCATGACAGAATGATGTGGCTGACATCACAGTGCATGAGGGAGGTGGTGGAGAAGGGAAGGTAATGGATGATCCCTCACAGTGGAGAAGGGAAGGTAACGAATGCTGGGTTAGGGGCCTGTCCTTTGAGGTTCTGCTACTCACATTCTCTCATGGCTCCTAGATTAGAATTGCCTATAGTTCTGTTCCCCCACTCCCATTACACTAAGAGTTCCTTGAGGACAGAGACTATGTTATCCACCTTCGTATTCATTCATTTATTCAACAAATATGTATTAAATGCCTACTGCACAGAAAGCCCTTTTAGGTGCTGTGGTTACCACATGAAGCAAGTTAGACTGACCTCTCTGCCTTCGTGGAGTTTACAAGGTGCCTGCCTCCGTGCTGGAAACATGGCAGGCTCTAGAGAGATATTTGTTAAAGGAATAAACAGTGGATTCAGAGGGATGTGAGTGTGGTCCTCAATCATCTGGAGAGCTGTGTGGGAAGAGGAACACACATGTTCAAGGATGTTTTAAAGGGCAGAGTGGGGCCAGTGCGGGGACATTGCATGGTGACTGGTCTGGGGAAATGAGGAAGAATTTCTGTTAGTAAAAGTTGTTCGATATTATGATATAGTGACAGTAAATGATAACACAGGCCAGGCACGGTGGCTTATGCCTATAATCCCAGACTTTGGGAGGCCAAGGTGGGTGGATCACCTGAGGTCAGGAGTTCGAGACCAACCTGACCAACATGGAGAAATCCCGTCTCTACTAAAAATACAAAATTAGCTGGGTGTGTTGGCGCATGCGTGTAATCCCAGCTACTCAGGAGGCTGAGGCAGGAGAATAGCTTGATCCTGGGGGAAGGAGTCTGTGGTGAGCTGAGATTGTGCCACTGCACTCCAGCCTGGGTAACAAGAGCGAAACTCCGTCTCAGAAAAAAAAAAAAAAAAAAGATAACACAGAGGCTTGTAGAAGAAATTTCTACAGTGAGTTCAAGGAGGTTAAGCCAAATGACCTACAGGTCCTTTCCAAATCTGGAATTTTATTGTTGAAAACATTGAAGTTTGTCCAAAATGTTCAGCCATCAAGATATATGGCAAACTGGCTATTGACTTTGGAACTTTTCTCTAGTAAGGGAAACAAGCAAACACTGTCACCCATAACAGTTTCACAGCAATTTTGCCGCGGACGTTTGGGTACACAGAAACTTCTCTATCTTACTTGTCACCTGAATCACAGCTCCTGGCCAAGTCAGACTCTCAGGAGAAAATCAAGGGGCAAGAGGATGAGCGAGTGTTCGCAAAAAAAAAAAAAAAAAAAAAGAGAGAAACTTCAAAATCTTCCTGGACTGAATCGTATGTCCATTTCACAAAATATTATTTAGCTGTTATAGAGAATAAAATAGATTTATATATATGTATAAAAGATATATTATTAAGTTTAAAATAACAAATTAGAGAATACTATTTAGGATATGACCAATTTTGTGTACTTTTTAAAAACAGGGCATGTCAATATATATGCATAATTTTTCTGGATGGAATGATAAGAAACTGTTAATAGTTTACTTTTGGGAGGTAGTTACTATGGAAAGTGGGAATGGGAGAAGGTAACTCCTCAATTTTCATTTAGTATGTTTCCATGTTGATGCTATTTTTTTTTTTTTTTTTTGAGACGGAGACTCACTGTGTCACCCAGGCTGGAGTGCAGTGGCGCGATCTCAGCTCACTGCGACCTCTGCCTCCCGGGTTCAAGTGATTCTCCTGTTTCAGCCTCATGAATAGCTGGGACTGCAGGCACACGCCACATGCCCAGCTAATTTTTGTATTTTTAGTAGAGACAGGTTTCATCATGTTGGCCAGGCTGGTCTCGAACCCCTGGCCTCAGGTGATCCACCCACCTTGGCCTCCCAAAGTGCTGGGATTACAGGCGTGAGCCACCACACCTTGCCCTTGATTCTATTTTCTAATCATGTGCCTCCTTCCCATCTTTTAATGCCAACACAGCTTACCTGGATCATGGTTAATTATAGCTTCTTTTTATAGTTTTCTATTTAAAAAATTAAAATTTAATATTTTTCATTTTCCAAAGGCTAGAAAAAAGGGAGTGGGGACCAAGCTGGGTACCACCAAGATAGATGATACTAGCTCCGTTTCTAAACATGAGAAACTAGAGTCAGCGAAACAGAAGGCTACAGGGAGGGAGAGCCTCTTGCTTAAGACCAGGCTGTAAAAAGACACCTGAGCCAAGACCAGAGGCCAGATCTCCTGGGGTCCAGCATGACTCCTCAGTGAAAACAACGCGGGAGAAGGAAAATGGAGGTAGGGAAGGGAGCTAACATTTGGAGAGGCCTACTGTGCACAGGCATTTTATACCATCACTGACCAACTGCTGTCCTTAGAACACCTTTCAGCAGCAAGACCCAGCTTACCCTGAGCTTTCCAGGATGAAGCATTAAGGCAGGCACAGAAGCTGACTTTCTGGACCCAGAAGGAAAACATGATTAAAAAATTCTACCTACACAAACTCCATTACCATGGATCCTGAGACTCTCCTTTTTCCTAGGGATCTTATTTATTACAGACTTGTTTGTGGAATGCAATGCTGGTGTCCTAGAAGAGACTCCTTATATAGTAATAACTGTATAGTCATCACCATGATAGTGAGGAAAAGTGAGAGTTGGCCTGGGAGTCAGGGCCCGGTGCTGGCCAGGGGGTTCGCAGCACTATTATGACCACTTGACTTTCTGTTTCCATCTGTGAACCCCAAATATCTGAGACAGGTCTCAGTCAATTTAGAAAGTTTATTTTGCCAAGGTTAAGGACACGCCTGTGACACAGCCTCAGGAAGTCCTGACGACATGTGCCCCAGGTGGTCGGGGATACCGTTTTTCTTTTTCTTTTGAGACGGAGTTTCATTCTTATTGCCCAGGCTGGAGTGCAGTGGCGTGATCTCGGCTCACCGCAACCTCTGGCTCCCGGGTTCAAGCGATTCTCCATTACAGGCATGCGCCATCACGCCCAGCTAATTTTGTATTTTTAGTAGAGACAGGGTTTCTCCATGTTGGCCAGGCTGGTCTCGAACTTCCAACCAATGGTGATCTGCCCGCCTCAGCCTCCCAAAGTGCTGAGATGACAGGCGTGAGCCACCGTACTCGGCCTTACAGTTTCATTCTGTACATTTTAGAGAGACATGCGACATCAATCCATGTGTGTAAGATGTACATTGGTTCAATTTTGTAAGGCAGGACAACTGGAAGTGAGGGCTTCCAGGTAGGAAGCAGATAAGAGACAAAAGGTTGCATTCTTTTGAGTCCTTGATCAGCCTTCCACTGAATACACAATTTAGTCTGGCTCAGTGAATCTGCATTTTTACATAAACGGTAGGGCAGAGGCAGCCATCAGATGTGCGTTTGTGTCTGGTGGGCCTCAGAGGGAGACTTGGAGCTCTGCCTGGCCTTCGTCCACAGGGAATTTTCCCACGGGCAAATTGTGAGGGAGGTCTGTAGCTTCTTGTCTTTGTAGCTATCTTATCCAGGAATAGAATGGGAGGCAGGTTTGCCTGACAGTTCCCGGCTGGACTTTTCTCTTGGCTTAGTGATTTTTGGGTCCCAAGATTTATTTTCCTTTTACACATTTATGAGCCTGAGTGGCAGGGCCTCCCTCACTCTTCCCACCCCAGCTCTCCTCTGCATCCCTGGATCTCAATCTCTGTGTTCCTCACTTTGGACTGGTAACCTGGCCTTGGTTCTCAATTGTTTGTGGGATAGGGTTGGGGATGTCAGGGGTAGCAGTTGGGGGTTGGAATAGCCACGGTGGGAAATGGGACCCAAGAACAACTGATAAGCCTCATGATTTTTCCGGCTCTCTCAGGGCCTCCAGGGTTTCTGGGACTGAGAGTTCAGGCAGGATAGATTTCATAAGAGGGTTCAAGCTCATTCTCCATCAGCCCAGAGAACTTGTCAGGCAAGTGTCAGGCCAGATGTCACCTCACTGTTTTGGGCCCTCTCCCAGTGGGCAAAATTGTTTTTTTTTTTTTTTTTTTGGAGATGGAGTTTCGCTCTTGTGGCCCAGGCTGGAGTGCAGTGGCACGATCTCCACTCACCGCAACCTCTGCCTCCCAGGTTCAGGCAATTCTCCTGCTTCAGCCTCCCAAGTAGCTGGGATTACAGGCATGTGTACCACACCCAACTATTTTTTTTTGTATTTTTAGTAGAGACGGGGTTTCTCCATGTTGTTCAGGCTGATCTCAAACTCCCGACCTCAGGTGAGCCGCCCACCTTGGCCTCCCAAAGTGCTGGGATTACAGGCGTGAGCCACCGCGCCTGGCCCAGGTGGGCAAGATCTAAGACATCACTCTGAGTTGGTTGTGTTTCCTCCGTCTGTCATGAGGGTCTTGATCAAAGGCAAGCATTGAGCTTATGCCTATTGCATTTCAGTTTGGTTGGTGACTTGATTGGAATCAAAGGTGGGAGAGTTGGTGGGAAAGAGAATGGAAAGCATCCTTCCCTGCAGCAAAGTCAATTCTGCCTCAAGGGGCATGAACCTCCATGCAGGTGCCAACCTCTTTAGCCCACTGGAGATCAGAGGTGTGTGTCATTTCATTTATACGTAAGAGTGGGGAGTGATGTGGGGCAGGGCTCTGCCATTTTCCAGTGACTCAGCCTGTGACCTTTGAGGGGAGATCTCAGAGAAAGAGAAGGTGCAGAACCTGAGCTTGCTTTCTTGGGGCTCAAATGGTGGTGGTTGCTGCTGCTAGTCTTAGAAGTCAGATGTACAGAGTTGAGTTACTCCTACTCCTTGGCCCCTGGATGTCAGCATCGTTGGTCCCTGGGAAACCCCCTCGTGAATTATTTACTTCCTTATTCCTTTTAGTCCCCATCCTGCAATTCCATTTCCTTCTCTCACTGCACATGATTCCTAGTTCTTTCATGTGTATCGTTTTGTTCGCATATTTTCATACAAATAGCATTTGCAGTATTTTAAATTTATGTACATATTCTATCTCATTATTTCTAACGCTTTTACATGCTTTTCCCCCATTTTTCACTGTTCTTAAGATCCGTCTATGCTGCTATGTGTACGTCTATTATTTTGCCTCAGTCCTGTTTCATCGTACTCCCTGGCGTGCATTCACTGTATTTTATTTCTCCATCTCAGTGATGGAAACTCAGGGAGTCTCCAGCTCCCACCACTAATTCCTGTGCAGGCAACATTTGCATACACCTCTCCTTACAGAATTGCATAAGAGCGGCCTGGGATGTATACCTCGTGGAGGCATTGCTAGCATGTTATACCGAATGTGACTAACAATGCCTGTGTGTGCCCCGGAACACTGCCAATGCCGACTCCTCTCAATCTGTCCTCTCGCCAGCAGGGTACAGGAGTGGCTATGTCCCACATCCCTGCCAATACTTGGCACTACCTGTATTTCTATATTTTGCCAATATAAAAGGCATACAGTGACATCCGGCTGT